>NC_000005.10:97988594-98291625 GCF_000001405.40 Homo sapiens
GGTATAGTATATTCTGCTGCTGGCACGAAACGTGTTTTTACCAAACTAAAGTATCCTGTAGTTCAAAAATGTTATCACAAGATTCCATTTGTGTATCTATTTAAAGTTTTGGTATATTTTCAATAAAAATTAATAAAAATATTTCTTCTCATAATATGTGGTTTAAATCCAGATTATTTCACAATATGTGGTTTAAATCCAGATTATTTCACTGTAATATGTCTTGATAGAGTTTTAGAATATTGAAATAGGGTATTAAGATGCTTTAAATCGATTACTGATTTGAACATTGTAAGTGTATATTTCTATTTGTGTGTGTGTGTCATATTCAAATATGATTAATCATGTATGTTGGTGTGTGAACATATGCATATATAAAGCATTTTTATCAGCTGTTTCTGGCTTCATACCACAGAGAACAATCTGAACTGTCAAAGAAAATTAAACCTTGAGTAAGAATTCCTCAAGCTAGTGCATATCATTTGTTGTTTTCATTTTCCTGAAATGAAAATATTAGCGTTGTTACTACCTGAATAGATTAAAAGACTAAAGAAAATTTGTTCATTAGAGATTTAAAAAAAGTGGCAGTGTTTGTAGAGTCAGGCATAGTACCAGCATGACATGGATCAAATTTGTCCCAATAATTTGAATTATTGTTATTATATTTGGGTGGTGTGTGTAGTTGGGGGGGGAGTGGTTGTTGTTTCATATTTTCCCTTAGGGGACATAAGTAAGTAAGTATTTACAGTAAACCCATAGTGAGTTCAGATGAAGCAAGAAAGGTAAGTATTTATCTTCATAATTTCTTAGACCAGAAGAAGTAAAAGTTATTAAATACATAATTAAGCATCCATAAACAAACTAAATAATTACCTTTGTACCTTGTACTTATTATGAAAGGTTTATAATATGTAACTCATATGATGTGAAGATTCTCTTTAGTCATTACATAAAATTACATTTTTGACACAGATAACCTACCTTCCTTCCCTCCTACCTTCTTTTTCCTCCCTTCCTCCCTCCTACCCTTCCTCACTTATTCTTTCACTCCCTTCTTTCCTCTTTCTGTTTAAATAAAAAGGTCTCATGATTTTTTCTGTGTAATTTTTGTTTTGTTTTCTTTAAAATTCCCTATTTTGCAATCCCATCAAAAAGTGGGCAAAGGACATGAATAGACCTTTCTCAAAAGAAGATTAGACAACCAACCAATGAACACATTAAAAAATGTTCAACATCACTAATCATCAGGGAAATGCAAATTAAAACTGCAATGAGATACCACCTTACTCCTGCAAGAATGGACATAATTAAAAAGTCAAAAAACAATATATGTTGGCATGAATGTGGCTAAAGGGGAACACTTTTATACTGCTGGTGGGAATGTAAATTAATACAACCACTATGGAAAACAGTATGGAGATTCCTTAAAGAACTAAAAGTAGAACTACCATTTGATCTGGCAATCTATCTCACCACTTGGTATCTACTTAAAGGAAAGAAAGTCATTATATATATGCAAAAGACACATGTAAATGCATGTTTATAGCTGCAGAATTCGCAATTGCAAAGATATGGAACCAACTTAAGTGCCCATCAACCAACAAGTGGATAAATAAAATGGTATATATAGACCACGGAATGCTACTCACCCATAAAAACGAATGAAACAATATCTTTTGCAGCAACTTGGATGGAGATGGAGGCCATTATTCTAAGTGAAATAATTAAAGAATAGAAAACCAAATATTGTATGTTTTCAGTTACAAGTGCAAGCTAACTATGAGGATGCAAATGCATAAGGAACATTTAATAGACTTTGGATACTTGGCAGGGAAGGTTGTGAGGCAGGTGAGGGATAAAAGACAACATACTGGGTACGGCATAGATGCTCAGGTGATCAGTGCAGTAAAATCTCAGAAATCACTGCCAAATAATTTATTCATCTAACCAAAAACCACCTGTACCCCAAAACTTTTGAGATTTTTAAAAAATTCCCTATTTTGGATACATTCTTTAACTTTCCAAGGAAAATAAATTTGCTTCCTGCATGACAAAACTATCAATTTTAATTGTAATTGAATATTTGTTAAGCAAAAATCTCTTGCAATTTTTGTCCACGTGAAACACTGCTTCCATATCTCAGATGAGATCGGGCACATTCAGGGTGGTATGGCTGTAGGCTGCTTCCATATTTCAAACTGGAGATCATTAAAAGTTACAGTTTATGATGCTGTTATCTCTGATACCATCTGGATAATACCTGGCAGTATAAAAAGCCTGAGCGTATATATCAATTAAGGCTATTTTCTCATTCCAGTAGGTCTTAGTGAAACTCCATGTGGAAATGAGTCTATACAAGGAAAGAAACTTGTTCAAATTTGAAGGGGGACAACAGACAGCAAGTGAAGTATGCAGGAGTTTTATGGAATGTGAGCTGAGGAATAGCTAATAAAATTATGCCTGCATGACTTCGTATGAGAGGAGGGTCAAGGAAGGTGAATGTTAAATTGACAAAGGAAATATTTCAAGGAAAATTGCAGACTTAAATGGACTCACCCTTTCTCATAACTGAGACCTAGAAGCTTAGTGTGTTAAACTCAGCTCTGGAGACTTTATTCATGAAAGCAAGTTTTGAGACAGGATAGAATAGGTTATTTGGGTCCCTGAACTTGAATTGAATTGCCTAGGAAGAATAATTTTTTAAAAAGCTTGAGAAGGAGGGGGTGGAGAAAAGAAGGCTGAATAGGAACAGCTCCAGTCTACAGCTCCCACTGTGAGCGATGCAAAAGACAAACGATTTCTGCATTTCTGACTGAGGTACCAAGTGCATCTCACTGGGGATTGTCAGACAGTGGGTGCATCACAGTGGGTGCAGTGCACTGAGCCTGAGGTGGAGCAGAGCGAGGCATCACCTCACCCGGGAAGCACAAGGGGTCGGGGAATTCCCTTTCCTAGCCAAAGAGAGAGGTGACTGACAGCACCTGGAAAATTGGGTCACTCCGACCCTAATACTGTGCTTTTCCGATGGTCTTAGCAAATGACACACCAGGAGATTATACCACATGCCTGGCTCAGAGGGTCCTACACCCATGGAGCCTCACTCATTGCTACCACAGCAGTCTGAGATCAAACTGCAAGGCAGCAGCGAGGCTGGGTGTGGGGTGCCCACCATTGCCAAGGCTTGAGTAGATAAACAAAGCGGCTGGGAAGCTCGAACTGGGTGGAGCCCACTGCAGCTCAAAGAGGCCTGCCTGCCTCTGTAGACTCCACCTCTGTGGGCAGGGCATAGCCAAACAAAAGGCAGCAGAAACCTCTGCAGACTTGAATGTCCCTGTCTGACAGCTTTGAAGAGAGTAGTGGTTCTTCCAGCATGCAGCTTGAGATCTGAGAACAGACAGACTGCATCCTCAAGTGGGTCCCTGAACCCCAAGTAGCCTAACTGGGAGGCACCCTCCAGTAGGGACAGAATGACACCTTACATGGCCATGTACTCCTCTGAGACAAAACTTCCAGAGGAACGATCAGGCAGCAACATTTACTGTTCACCAATATCCACTGTTCTGCAGCCTCCACTGCTGATACCCAGGCAAAGAGGGTCTGCAGTGGACGTCCGGCAAACTCCAACAGACCTGCAGCTGAGGGTCCTGACTGTTAGAAGGAAAACTAACAAACAGAAAGGACATCCACACCAAAACCACATCTGTACATAACCATCATCAAAGACTAAAAGTAGATAAAACCACAAAGATGGGGAAAAAACAGAGCAGAAAAACCGAAAATTCGAAAAATCAGAGCGCCTCTCCTCCTCCAAAGGAATGCAGCTCCTCACCAGCAACGGAACAAAGCTGGATGGAGAATGACTTTGGCGAGTTGAGAGAAGAAGGCTTCAGATGATCAAACTACTCTGAGCTAAAGGAGGAAGCTTGAACCCATGGCAAAGAAGTTAAAAACCTTGAGAAAAGATTAGATGAATGGCTAACTAGAATAACCAATGCAGAGAAGTCCTTAAAGGACCTGATGGAGCTGAAAACCACTGCACGAGAACTACATGATTAATGCACAAGCCTCAGTAGCCGATTCGATCAACTGGAAGAAAGGGTATCTATCAGTAATGGAAGATCAAATGAATGAAATGAAATGAGAAGAGAAGTTTAGAGAAAAAAGAATAAAAAGAAACGAACAAAGTCTCCAAGAAATATGGGACTATGTGAAAAGACCAAATCGACGTCTAATTGGTGTACCTGAAAGTGAAGGGGAGAATGGAACCAAGTTGGAAAACACTCTGCAGGACATTATCCAGGAGAACTTCCCCAATCTAGCAAGGCAGGCCAACATTCAAATTCAGGAAATACAGAGAATGCCACAAAGATACTCCTCCAGAAGAGCAACTCCAAGACACATAATTGTCAGATTCACCAAAGTTGAAATGAAGGAAAAAATGTTAAGGGCAGCCAGAGAGAAAGGTTGGGTTACCCACAAAGGGAAGCCCATCAGACTAACAGCTTATCTCTCAGCAGAAACACTACAAGCCAGAAGAGAGTAGGGGCCAATATTCAACATTCTTAATGAAAAGAATTTTCAACCCAGAATTTCATATCCAGCCAAACTAAGCTTCATAAGTGAAGGAGAAATAAAATCCTTTACAGACAAGCAAATGCTGAGAGATTTTGTCACCACCAGGCCTGCCCTAAAAGAGCTCCTGAAGGAAGCACTAAACATAGAAAGGAACAACCAGTACCAGCCACTGCAAAAACATGCCAAATTGTAAAGACCATCAAGGCTAGGAAGAAACTGCATCAACTAACGAGCAAAATAACCAGCTAATATCATAATGACAGGATCAAATTCACACATAACAATATTAACCTTAAATGTAAATGGGCTAAATGCTCCAATTAAAAGACACAGACTAGCAAATTGGATAAACAGTCAAGACCCATCAGTATGCTGTATTCAGGAAACCCATCTCATGTGCAAAGAGACACATAGGCTCAAAATAAAGGGATGGAAGAAGATCTACCAAGCAAATGGAAAACAAAAAAGGCAGGGGTTGCAATCCTAGTCTCTGATAAAACAGACTTTAAACCAACAAAGATCAAAAGAGACAAAGAAGGCCATTACATAATGGTAAATGGATCCATTCAGCAAGAAGAGCTAACTCTCCTAAATATATATGCACCCAATACAGGAGCACCCAGATTCATAAAGCAAGTCCTTAGAGACCTACAAAGAGGGACTTAGACTCCCACACAATAATAATGGGAGACTTTAACACCCCACTGTCAACATTAGACAGATCAACGGGACAGGAAGTTAACAAGGATATCCAGGAATTGAACTCAGCTCTGCACCAAGCGGAACTAATAGACAGCTACAGAACTCTCCACCCCAAATCAACAGAATATACATTCTTTTCAGCACCACACCACACCTATTCCAAAATTGACCACATACTTGGAAGTAAAGCACACCTCAGCAAATATAAGAGAACAGAAATTATAACAAACTGTCTCTCAGACCACAGTACAATCAAACTAGAACTCAGGACTAAGAAACTCACTCAAAACCGCTCAACTACATGGAACCTGAACAACCTGCTCCTGAATGACTACTGGGCACATAACGAAATGAAGGCAGAAATAAAGATGTTCTTTGAAACCAATGGGAACAAAGACACAACATACCAGAATCTCTGGGACACATTAAAAGCAGTGTGTAGAGGGAAATTTATAGCACTAAATGCTCATAAGAGAAAGCAGGAAAAATCTAAAATTGACACCCTAGCATCACAATTAAAAGAACTAGAGAAGCAAGAGCAAACACATTCAAAAATTAGCAGAAGACAAGAAATAACTAAGATCAGAGCAGAACAGAAGGAAATAGAGACACAAAAAACCCTTCAAAAAATCAATGAATCCAGGAGCTGGTTTTTTGAAAAGATCAACAAAATTAATAGGCCTCTAGCAAGACTAATAAAGAAGAAAAGAGAGAAGAATCAAATAGATGCAATAAAAAATGATAAAGGGGTTATCACCACTGATCCCACAGAAATACGAACTACCATCAGAGAATACTATAAACACCTCTATGCAAATAAACTAGAAAACCTGGAAGAAATGGATAAATTCCTCTACACATACACCCTCCCAAGAATAAACCAGGAAGAAGTTGAATCTCTGAATAGACCAGTAACACGCTCTGAAATTGAGGCAATAATTAATAGCTTACCAACCAAAAAAAGTCCAGGACCAGACGGATTCACAGCCGAATTCTACCAGAGGTACAAGGAGGAGCTGGTACCATTCCTTCTGAAACTATTCCAATAAATAGAAAAAGAGGGAATCCTCCCTAACTCATTTTATGAGGCCAGCATCATCCTGATACCAAAGCCGGGCAGAGACACAACCAAAAAAGAGAATTTTAGACCAATATCCCTGGTGAACATTGATGCAAAAATCTTCAATAAAATACTGGCAAACCCAATCCAGCAGCACATCAAAAAGCTTATCCACCATGATCAAGTGGGCTTCATCCCTGGGATGCAAGACTGGTTCAACATATGCAAATCAATAAATGTAATCCAGTATATAAACAGAACCAAAGACAAAAAGCACATGATTATCTCAATAGATGCAGAAAAGGCCTTTGACAAAATTCAACAGTCCTTTATGCTAAAAACTCTCAATAAATTAGGTATTGATGGGACATATCTCAAAATAATAAGAGCTATCTATGACAAACCCACAGCCAATATCATACTGAATGGGAAAAACTGGAAGCATTCCCTTTGAAAACTGGCACAAGACAAGGATGCCCTCTCTCACCACTCCTATTCAACATAGTGTTGGAAGTTCTGGCCAGGGCAATTAGGCAGGAGAAGGAAATAAAGGGTATTCAATTAGGAAAAGAGGAAGTCAAATTGTCCCTGTTTGCAGATGACATGATTGTATATCTAGAAAACCCCATTGTCTCAGCCCAAAATCTCCTTAAGCTGATAAGCAACTTCAGCAAAGTCTCAGGATATAAAATCAATGTGCAAGAATCACAAGCATTCTTATATACCAATAACAGACAAACAGAGAGCCAAATCATGAGTGAACTCCCATTCACAATTGCTTCAAAGAGAATAAAATACCTAGGAATCCAACTTACAAGGAACGTGAAGGACCTCTTCAAGGGGAACTACAAATCACTGCTCAATGAAATAAAAGAGGATACAAACAAATGGAAGAACATTCCATGCTCATGGTAGGAAGAATCAATATCGTTAAAATGGTCATACTGCCCAAGGGAATTTATACATTCAATGCCATCCCCATCAAGCTACAAATGACTTTCTTCACAGAATTGAAAAAACTACTTTAAAGTTCATATGGAACCAAAAAAGAGCCCACATGGCCAAAACAATCCTAAGCCAAAAGAACAAAGCTGGAGGCATCACGCTACCTGACTTCAAACTATACTACAAGGCTACAGTAACCAAAACAGCATGGTACTGGTAACAAAACAGAGATATAGACCAATGGAACAGAACAGAGCCCTCAGAAATAATGCTGCATATCTACAACTATCTGATCTTTGACAAACCTGACAAAAACAAGAAACGGGGAAAGGATTCCCTATTTAATAAATGGTCCTGGGAAAACTGGCTAGCCATATGTAGAAAGCTGAAACTGGATCCCTTCCTTACACCTTATATAAAAATTAATTCAAGATGGATTAAAGACTTACATGTTAGACCTAAAACCATAAAAACCCTAGAAGAAAACATAGGCAATACCATTCAGGACATAGGCATGGGCAAGGACTTCATGTCTAAAACACCAAAAGGAATGGCAACAAAAGCCAAAATTGAAGGGATCTAATTAAAGAGCTTCTGCACAGCAAAAGAAACTACCATCAGAGTGAACAGGCAACCTACAGAATGGGAGAAAATTTTTGCAATCTACTCATCTGACAAAGGGCTAATATCCAGAATCTACAATGAACTCAAACACATTTACAAGAAAAAAACCAACAACCCCATCTAAAAGTGGGAGAAGGATATGAACAGACACTTCTCAAAAGAAGACATTTCTGCAGCCAAACGACACATGAAAAAATGCTTATCACCACTGGCCATCAGAGAAATGCAAATCAAAACCACAATGAGATGCCAACTCACACCAGTTAGAATGGCGATCATTCAAAAGTCAGGAAACAATAGGTGCTGGAGAGGATGTGGAGAAATAGGAACTTTACACTGTTGGTTGGACTGTAAATTAGTTCAACCATTGTGGAAGTCAGTGTGGTGATTCCTCAGGGATCTAGAACTAGAAATACCATTTAACCCAGCCATCCCATTACTGGGTATATACCCAAAGGATTATAAATCATGCTGCTCTAAAGACAGGTGCACACGTATGTTTATTACGGCACTATTCACAATAGCAAAGACTTGGATCCAACCCAAATGTCCACCAATGAGAGATTGGATTAAGAAAATGTGGCACATATACACCATGGAATACTATGCAGCCATAAAAAATGATGAGTTCATGTCCTTTGCAGGGACATGGATAAAGCTGGAAACCATCATTCTCAGCAAACTATCGCAAGGACAAAAAACCAAACACCTCATGTTCTCACTCATAAATGGGAATTGAGCAATGAGAATACATGGACACAGGAAGGGGAACATCACACACCGGGGCCTGTTGTGGGGTGTGGGGGGTGGGGAGGGATAGCATTAGGAGATAAACTTAATGTTAAATGACGAGTTAATGGATGCAGCACACCAACATGGCACATATGTATATATATGTAACGAACCTGCACGTTGTGCACATGTACCCTAAAACTTAAAAGTATAATAAAAAAAAAGAGAGAGAGAGAAAAAAGAAAAAGCATGGAAAAAAAAAAAAAAGCTTGAGAAAGTGAGGGAATGAGAATCTAATCTGTGGTTATCTACCAGCTTCATCATGAACTAATTGCATTTTTATACCATTTCAGATGGTCCTTAGAATGAGACTGATATCTCCATCTCCCAGTGCCATAGGACAGGATCTCACAAGCTCTTGGGAATTGTGTGGTTAGGAGAACTAATCCGAGGGTGATTTTCAAGGATCTCTAAGATAACTTCATCATCTCTTCCCTCTGAGGTAACCCCACCCCCAACACACACACAATTTTCATTTTTTTCTGACATACATTGTCTTTACATGCAAAACGATTATCAACAGCAAAATGATAATATGTTTTAAGTAAGTGGGCCTAGTCACTTTTACATTAATCATTGATTCATAACTTTTTAACCACCCAGAACCTTTTCTATTATTTGCTCTCTACTTTATGAACCTCAAGATTTGAATAAAAGAAGTCTTCACAAAAAATTGTTCATAATAAGTAACAACTCATTTCCATTAGTTCCTTCCACTAAATAAGAGCCAGTTGAAGATTCGATAATCATAAATATAGCCAAGGGCAAAGAAACTCAAAAGGTTATAAATTGGAAAATAATCACACCCACAGAATGTCATTGTGAGGATTAAGTGTGTTCATATGCGTAAAGCACTTAGAATGGTTCCTGGCGCACGGGATCACTATAAAAGTGCTTACTGCTCTTGATATTTTAATTGGTCTGTGAAGACTTATAGCAAACACATGTCTAACTTCCATAAAGTTTAATTTTCTATAATCAGTAGATTTTGAAAATTAAAAAATACTTCTTGAGTATAAAGGATCTTGCATTTGACTATAATAGCATGTACCCCCCTGGAAGGGAGATGCTGTAATGGCATTGATTTTCATAGTCCTGGTCTATGTAATATAGGTTTTTGTACCTAGGCACTCAATCTGTTGATATGTTTATATTTTCATGATGTATGAGGCAGATATTATGCACATGCATCTGCTCTAGAAGGTTAATGATAAAAATTGGTTATAAAGTTTTAAAATAGTCACTATATTAGCTATATAACTTTTATAATTTGAACTGGTTACATTGTGGCAAGTTGTATCACTTACAGTTAACACTGACTTGCCAAATTTCTTAACAGTGACAGCAGGAATAATTGCCCCAAACTAGAAATTGAGCAAAGCTTTCCCTTAATAAACAGTAGAGAAATAACTAAGAACAGAAACGGGGAAGAAATAGGAAGATAAAGGACAGTCTAAGCTAAGCTTATACCGTGAACATACTTAATTAGCCTTCCCTCCTTGATTTATGTTGCATATTTATAAACCCTCTGTAAACTGCAAGTGTAACAAAGGTATTTTATTTTATTGATTTTTATTATTATATTTCTGATCACTGTCCCCAGCCAGGCAACATCAGTAAGAAAAAGAATCATTGTGACAGGTCCTAGATTTTAGTTGCATTGGCCAATGTTTACTTTTCCAGGGCTGAATATAGCAGCCCTATGATGCTGAGATCCAATAGCATTCAGTACACTGAGCCTATTCTTGCTCAAAAGCAAGTATTCAGGGTTGTGACAAAGGTTGGCAAAGACCAGTCAGCTAGAATGAATAGTATTATGTGCAGCTGGCTCATTGCATGGTATCTAACAACACATCAACCAGAACTGATTATGTCAAAACAGAATTCTCTAAGTTAGAGTCTTGGAGTCAGCACTTCCTAAAGGATAAACATCTCAGAATGTGCCTTTGTAAGAACTCTGAGGCTACTCTTGAATGCTGAAGGGTGGTTTTGAAATGTTCAGTGACTCCATTAGACTGTGTGTTGAACATGTGGACACCTCCTCCATCTCTTTTGTCAGATCTGGACATATTTCTTTTTAACATTGTATTTTTTAACAGTATGTTTCTTGTGAAATGCTGCAATAGTTTGTTAATAAGTCTGTAATCTGCTATTACAAAGCCACTGATGAATTGTATAAGGTTAGTTAAGTTTATGTTAAATATAAAGGAAGCAGACATTCAAGAAATATGAGGGTAGGATGGGGAAAGAGACTCATTAAGATGGTAGAAGAATTCTTATTTAATTTCCTTTTTATCCTTTGTAAGAATTACACAATCTGTTGCTAGCATCTTAATCTTTAGTTATGCACACACAAATTTCATGCCGTCTTGTTAATCTCATCACTTTCTCATTAGTACAAAACATTTTCCAACTTCATTCTTTTCTGGGTGAGGGCCAATAAAACTACAGAAAAAATCTCCCATTTAAGAAAATATCTCTAATGTCTTTTTCAAAATTAAAGAATGCCCAGAAGTTTTTGAAATAAGGTATGCTCATCACATCCTAAAGAGCATTTTTGTTTTACCACTCTTTCTTATGTCAGTACTTATTAAAATCTACCTAGAGTGTGGTCGATTTCCAGTGGAACTTTGAGTCTTCTGGGTTACAAGAGATAAGTGAAAAATATTTAAAGAATTGTTTTTTATGTGCTATATTGGTAATTACTATATCACTATATATTTTAAATTTAAAAACATTCAATTCCACTTCCATTAATGGTGCCATCAATTTTCCTACTTTTCCAGGTTTGGAACATCAGAGTCATGTGTGTTTCAATGTCTTCTCTACTAGACTCTGAGTAGTCTTGTTTATATCACATTAACCCAAAGCGTTACCATCTCACACCTGAACCACAGCCAGAGCCTCAAAACTGATCTTCCTCCAACTGGTCTTTGCTACTTACTTCACTTGTAGAGTGCTTTTCACTTATCTTTTTACTTTGCTTGCTTGGATCATCTCTCTCTTCCCTCAGGCATTTTGATGGTCTTCTATTGCCTTATAGATAAGATTTAAAATCCCCATTTGTCTTTCAGAAACCTCTACAATTTGACCCTAAAATGCTTTCTCAGATGTATCTTCTTATCTTTGTGTATATAAACCTCCCTTTCCAGCCAAACGTTTCTGCTTACATACCTTCTGTGGAAAGTGGAAAATGACTCCCCAACACCTCCCAGCCCCCACTCCCAACAAATATGCCTACATCCCAATTGCTAGAACCTGTGAATGTGTTAGGTTATATGGAAATGGAGAATTCAGATTGCATATGAAATTAAGGTTGCTACTCAGCTGACATTAAGAGGAGGACATTATGCTGCATTTTTCAAGTATGCCCAATATAATCCCAAGGCCCTTGTAAGGGAAGGAAGGAGACAGAGGAGAGAGACAGAGAGATGGAAGTATGAGAAGAATTCAGCCTGATATTGCTCGTTATGAAGATGGAGAAAGCAAGGACATGGTCCAAGATAAGCATGTGGTCTCTAGAAACAGGTGAAGAAAAGAAAATGCATTATCCTCCAAAGCCTCCAGAAAGAAACACAACCCTATAGACATCTTGATTTTAGCACAATGAGACATATTTTGGACTTCTGACTTCCAGAACTGTAAGATAGTAAGTTTGTGTTGTTTTAAGCCACTAAATGTGTAGTAATATGTTACAGTAATAATAGAAAAAAATGCATCTTTTATTGAATTCAACTTATTAATTACATAAAATATATTTCACCTTAGTTAGTTGCTACTTACATGTTCTTATCTTTTTAGTTATATTATAAATTAGTGAGAGCAGGGAGTTAGTATACCATATTTCTTATGAGTATGGTTATATATGCTATACAGCTTTGGATATGGCAGATCCTTGGGTTTTTTAATTGATAATCTAATCTAAGTCGGCTATTTTTTAATACTTGTAATAAATTTTCATCATAGAGGTAAATTCTCAGAAAAGATATAGTTACAGTTCCACTACATAATATTCATTTATCAATTTGTAGTCAAGAGATTCTGTCTTCTTAATTGGGTAATATGAAGAGCATCTCTGAGGGGTTGCTACCTCAATTTACTAAATTAGGAGAGTAGACCTAGTGATGCAAAAGGATTTGCACATAAGTAAGTAGTTACACAGAGGAAGAACACAAGCTTATATTGATCACATATGTCTGACTCTAATTTGCTATCTTGATTTCCAAAGTGCTTGCTTACAAGATGAAATGAGCTACTCAGTACTGGGCTCAGCTGTGTGGATCGGAGTCACATATCAGTTTCAAGGATTCTTAACAGACCGTTGGAAAGCTATAATAGACGACTGATGCTACATAAAGAATATCTAAACAGTATGAGAATCGCTAAATCAAAATCCCACATGGGGGAGGTAAGAAGAGAAAAGAAAATAAATTGCTTTATTTACAATAAAAAGCTATCTTGTTTGCAGATTACAAGGACCAATAGGCACAAATAAGTGCTAATATTGGATTTTTTATTGAACTTGAAATTATTTTCTCCTTATTTAAAATAAAAAACCCTTTCTGTGACACAATTAATTTAGTCAAACTTATCGATAGTAGGCACATCTGTACTTTCTAAAATTCCAATATTTCAATCTGTTTCCATTTTATGAAGATAACTACAGATGTTGTAATGCCTACAAAGATGCAAGAGATGAGTTGGTACTCCTAAAGTCACCTGGAAAACCTTTACAAACACCCATGCCAGAATTCAATGTTATAGCAGAATTTCTGCAAGTGCACCTGTGCTTGAGTGCATCTTAATAGTTCCCAAAGGATTCTAAACGTGCAGGTTAGAGAGTCACTGAGCTTGAAGATAGAAGACATAATTTTTATACAACCAATCGGCTCCCCTTCCCTCAGATGAAGTACAAAAAGATTTAAAAATTTTAAAAAGAGTTCATCAGCTGCTGAAATTCAAAGATAAACATTTTATAATTTTTCTGTGAAGCTGCAAATATAGTAGGTGCTATGGTAAATAATGAATGTATCATGTATGTGTAAAGGGAATCATTTCGTGAATCTTGGAAAAAATATGACATTTCGATGGGGTTCAATATAAAATATCAATCATTACAAAATACAATGTGTTCATCATTTTAATTCTATTCAATACTAGAGAAATACTGACCTTCATTATACATCTGAAATGAATATTTTTAAAGGTTATCTGTTTTCTTTCTGTATAGTTTTAGTTTTGGCATCTGTGGTGAATTTTGGCATTTGTGGCAAATTCAACAATTCCCTGTACAAAAATTAAGACCAGGCAAAAAAATTGTAGCCATCTACCTCATGGATCAACTACTCATTTATTTAAAATAAAATCGTTGTAACATTTCTATACCAGATGTTACATTTTCCTCTCTATTTTTAAATAGATAATTTGTTAGAAATAGGAGAATGGTAAATATAATGATAAGATTCTTAAATTAACAACATGTAGCACATGAATGTGCTTTATCTTTATAGACCCATTTTAACATTCAAATTTACTAATCTAAGGTGATTCCAACCAAGAGAACAATAAGCATAGTCAAGATGATGGCAAATCAGTACTATAAATCTATAGTTGAAAATATATTTTGAAAAGCTTTGGAAAAGGTAATTCCAGGTTTCAACTAGTAGGAAAGCTTTGGGTGCTATATAAAGAAGATACTATTCCAAGAACTACTTAACATTGAAGGCCCAAAAGTACTAACTGTAATTCACAGAGTGAATTATAAGCAATAGCCAGACTGACCATGTAAAGCCCATGAGAATCAGAGACATGTGAAAAGATTAGAAAGCAAAAATAAAATAAAATAAAATAAAATAAAAATACTGTGTGCAGATTATAAACTGGCTTATATAAAAATAGAGTTGGCCAAGTGGTTCTTAAAAGTAAATCAGCTGGGCCAGGCGCAGTGGTTCAGGCCTGTAATCCCAGCACTTTGGGAGGCCGAGGTGGGCGGATCACAAGGTCAGGAGTTTGAGACCAGCCTGACCAACATGGTGAAACCCCGTCTCTACTAAAAATACAAAAATTAGCCGGGTGTGGTGGTGGGCGCCTGTACTCCCAGCCACTCAGGAGGCTGAGGCAGGAGAATCGCTTTAACCTGGGAGGCAGAGGTTGCAATGAGCCGAGATCATGCCACTGAACTCCAGCCTGGGTGACAGAGCGAAACTCTGTCTCAAAAAAAAAAAAAAAAAAAAAAAAAAAGTAAATCAGCTGGTTTCACCATGATGGAGTAGCCTTATTTTTCCTTGGTACTCACACTTACGATGCCTGGATATAAGGCAACAAGCATGGTAAACACTGAAAAGGACTTGAGGATCCCAAGATAATCAATTATCTGGGTTTCCTTTCTGCCTCTCATATACCCTGAACAAGGTGCTGAAAAAGCCTACAACTTGGAGCTACCAATAGGCCCAGGCAGGAAAAGCTCCAAGAAAAGCCTGTCTTCAGTAGCAAAGGACTGGAAAAAGAATGGCCTAAAGACAGAAAACCTTTTTTGGCAATACCTGCCCTACTGCAGCTAAACACAAACCTAAAAAATACATACAAACAAACACAAACCTCATGGTTTCAGTGGGGTGAGTGTGGAGTTAATCCCCTACTTTCACTCTACCCCATGGAAGAAGGTGGTGGTCCTCTAATCCCCTAGCCAGTGGTTTTAGTAGGACATGGCTGGAAACTGACCTTCTATTCTCCACCTACCAGTAGCAGTGCCCCAGTTCTCCCATTTGAGTAGTTTCAGTGAGATCCAGCTATAATCTGAGCATCCATGAAAACCCAGCAATAATGAGACTTGATGGTGGAGTGAGACGTGAGACTATCCACTATTAGAATTCATGCATCTCCTCTCCATGGTGTCAATGGGGCTGAGTGTGGGGCTGAGCCTCCACCTCATCTAACATCGCTGAGACTGAACAAGATGGTAGAAGTTGGGGTTAATAAGGCCCTCCATTATTTCTCTAACTTCCCTTCCCCAGGGAAGCCCACTGGGGAGCTGAACTCCTGTATCACTCTGGCAGTAACAAGACGGAATAAGGTGGCCTGAGCAAAGTTCATAGGCTCTCTTATTTTTCATCCACTCTGGTGTCGGTAGGCCCCAGTGGGGATCTGAGCCTTCACCTCCATCCGGTATCAATGAGACAGAATGGAGTGGTGTGAGGAAGGATAGTAGATACATTTTCTCCTTCTTTGTCTTAACAGGGCCCAGTGGAGAGCTGAGCCTCAACCCCTACCAAATATCAAGAAGCCAAATGAAGTAACAGGCAGCAGGGCTAATGAGCACACCACTCCTTCCCCACTTTTCCCTAGTATCAGAAGGGCGAGTGAGAGCGGAGTTTCCATCGTAATTCTGCTAGAACAAAGTAGTATGAGTCAGGCCTCCACATCTACCAAAATATATCAAACTTTGTGGGAGGTACCTAAAGTGTGCTGAGAGGGAAATTTATAGCACTATTGCTTAAACCAGAAGAAAGGAAATAATCTAAGTTCCTATTTCAAGCAGTTAGGAAAAGAATATAAAAATAAACTCAAGGCAATCAGAAGAAAGGAAATAAAAACGATAAGAGCAGAAAGCAATAAAATTGAAAATAGAAAAAAACACAGAAATTGAAAAATGAAAGCTGGTTCTTCAAAAAAATCAATGAAATTGATAAACCTTTCATAAGACTGAGAAATATAAACAGAAGACATAAATTATTAACATGAGGAATTAAACAGGGGACATTACAACAGACTCTGAGCCATTAAAAAGATAAGGACATACTACAAACAACTTTATGCTCATCAATTTGACAATCTGGAAGAAATGGACTAATTTCTCAAAACCTACAAACTACAAAAACTCAATGAAGATGAAATAGACAACCTCAGTAATACCATAACAATGAAACAAAAAAATTGGTGACTAAAAGTCTCCCAAAAAAGAAGCCTCCAGGCCCAGATTGTTTAATGGAGAATTCTACCAAATATTTAAATAAGATTAATTCCAATTTTGCATAATCTCGTCCAGAAAACTGAAGTGAAGGGGACCCTCCACAACTTATTTTATGAGAATACTAATACCATGATATGAAAACTAGACAAAGACATTACAAATAAAAGGAAAACTAGAGACCAATATCTGTCATAAACTTAGAAGCAAAACTTATCACCAAAATATTAGCAAATTGAATCCAGTAATGCATAGATTTAGTACAAGTATGTAAGGCTGGTTCAACATTAACAAATTGATCAGTATAATTGACCATATAAGCAGGTTAAGAAAAAAACTCATGATTATATCAACTGATGCAGCAAAGTTATTTGTCAAAATTTAAAACTTACTCATAATAAAAAGTAACTGCAAACTATGAATAGAGTGAAACTTAATCAAACTGATAAAGAGCATCTACAAAAAGCCCACAACTAACATTCTATTTAACAGCAAAAGACTAAAAACGCTTCACTCTGTGGGCAAAAGACAAGAATGTACACTCTCATTACTTTTATTCAACATAGTACTGGAAGTTCTGCTTCTGCAATAAAGCAAGAAAAAAATAAAAAGCATGCAGATTTAAAAAGAATAAATAAAACTATCTCTATTTGTGGATGAATAATTGTCCATGTAGAAAATTCCATGAAAACTGCAAAAACCATTCTAGAATTGAAAAGTTCAGCAAGGCCATGTGATAAAAGATCAATATACAAGAATCAATTTCATTTCTATATACTAATAATACACATGTGGAATCCAAAATCAAAATCACAATTATTTATAATTTACAATTGCCCCAAGAAAATTATATACTTTATATACTCCAAATATAAATTTTAAGACAATATAACCCAGTATGCTGAAAATTACAAAATGCTGATGAAAAAATTCAAAGACCTAGCTAAATGGAGAGATATTCAATATTCATGAGTTGAAAGCGTAAACATAGTAAAGAAGTCAATTCATCCGAAATTTTGATGTATTGGTATAATGGTATTTCTATCAAAATTCAGCAAGATGATTTTGTAGACATTGACAAGTTTATCCTAAATTTTATATGGAATGATGTAGGCCCTAAGAAAGGTAAAACAATCTTGAAAGAGAAAAGTTACATAGGAGGAATTACAGTATCTGATATTAAGGCCTGCCGTATAGCTACAATAAACAAGACAGTGCCATATTAGTGAATAAATAGACACATAGATCAATAAAACAGAATAGAGTATCCTGAAATAGCCCCACATAAGTATGGCAAACTGATTTTTGACAAAGGTGCAAAAACAACTCAATGAACTGATGATAGTCTTTTCAACAACTAGTGCTTGAGCAATTGGATATCTGTAGGCAAAAAACAAAAAACAAAAAACGAAAAAAAACTTTGACCTGTCTCACATCTCATATAAAAATTAAATCAAAATAAAACATGGACTTAAATATGAAGGCTATAACTGTACAACTTTTAGAAAAAAAAATGAGAGAAAACTTTTTGAACCTAGACCTAACCAGTGTTCTTTGACTTGACATCAAAAGCACAAACCATTTAATTAATAAATTAGACCTAATCAAAATTACGAACTTGGCAAGTTACAAACTGTGATAATCCATGTGAAGTGGAGGAAAAAAATAAGCTATAGACTGGGGGAAAATATTTTAAATCTATATATCCAACTATGAACTAATATCTATACACACAAAGAATTTCAAAACTCAGCACTAAAAAGAAATGCAACTAGTAAATGGAAAAAAGACATAACTAGACATTTCACTAAACAAGACATATGAATGGCAAATAACCACACAGAAAGATGTTCAAAATCATTAGCCATTGAAGAAATACAAAGTAAAATCACAGTGAGGTGTAACTATTAATACATAGCTATCAGAATGGCTAAAATAAAAAAATAATGACAGTATCAAATCCTAGCAAGGATATAGAAAAAGTAGATCATTCATACATTGCTGATCAGAATGTAAAATGGTACAGTCACTCTGGAAAAAATTGAGTTTTGTTTTTGTTTTCTAAACCTGAACATGTATCTATCATATAAGCAACATTTGCAGTCTTGTACATTTATCCCATAGAAATTAAAACCTATACATCAAAACCTATACAAAAATGTTCATAGCAGCTTTAATGGTAAATTCAAAAACCTGGAAACCACCCAGGAATGCTTCAACACATGAATGGTTAAACAATTGTGGTACCTCCATATCATGAAATATTACTCAGCAATAAAAAGGAGGAAACTACTGATACACACAACTTGGATGAATCTCCAGAGATTTATGCTGAGGGAAGAATACCACTTCCAGGAGTCCACTTATAAAACATTTTTTAAATGACAAATTGAAACAGCAAAGAGAATAGTGTTTGTCAGGGGTCAGGAATGGCAGGGGGCATGGTGGTACAGGGGAGGTGGACATGGCTATGAAAGAGGAAAATCATGGATCCTTGTGGTGATGAAACTTTTGTATCTTGAATATGTCATTGTCAATATACCCATAGTTATATTGTACTTTAGTTTTGAAAGATGTTACTTTTGGGAGAAATGGAACAAAGAGTATGTGAGGTTTCTTTGCCTTATTTCTTAGTTTTTAAATACACAATTACTTCTAAGTAAAAGCTTAATTTAAAAAGAGTTAATCAGCTGTCTCTCTCTCAGAAGGATAACAAATAATGTTTACTTTTTGGCATAAATCCTTTCATCACCATGAAGAAATTTGCATTTACCTAAAGATAAATGCCAAATGTATATAGCTCACTGGTTTGCAAAGCAACTTCACAAATGTTGTCTGATTTAACTCTTCCAATAACCCCATGAGTTTTTATCTCTATTTAATAGATGAAAAAATTGAGAGTGAGAACATGTGATATGCCCATGTTATCTCCCTGCAAAGTAACAGTAAGAGCTCAGTCTCTATGTGTAGAAACCTTTTCCTTCCCTACTACTGCTACTCCCTTTGGTTTTCTTCCTCTATTCAGATATATGATTTCTATCAGGACATAGGCATGGGAAAAGACTTCATGACTAAAACACCAAAAGCAATGTCAACAAAAGCCAAAATAGACAAATGGGATCTAATTAAACTAAAGAGCTTCTGCAGAGCAAAAGAAACTGTCATCAGAGTGAACAGGCAACCTGCAGAATGGGAGAAAATTTTTGCAATCTATCCATCTGACAAAGGGCTAATATCCAGAATCTACAAAGAATTCAAACAAATTTACAAGAAAAAAACAAACAACCCCAACAAAAAGTGGGCGAAGGATATGAACAGACACTTGTCAAAAGAATACATTTATGCGGCCAACAAACATATGAAGAAAAGCTCACCATCACTGGCCATTAGAGAAATGCAAATCAAAACCACATTGAGATACCATCTAACACCAGTTAGAATGTAGATCATTAAAAAGTCAGGAAACAACAGATGCTGAAGAGGATGTGAATAAATAGGAATGCTTTTACACTGTTTGTGGGAGTGTAAATTAGTTCAACCATTGTGGAAGACAGTGTGGTGATTCCTCAATGATCTAGAACTAGAAATATCATTTGACCCAGCAATCCCATTACTGGGTATTTCTCAAAGGATTATAAATCATTCTACTATAAAGACTCATGCACATGTATGCATATGGCGGCACTGTTCACAATAGCAAAGACTTGGAACCAACCCAAATGCCCATCAATGATAGACTGGATTTAAAAAATGTGGCATATATACACCATGGATTACTATGCAGCCATGAAGGATGAGTTAATGTCCTTTGCTGGGACATGGATGAAGCTGGCAACCATCATTCTCAGCAAACTAACACAAGAACAGAATGCCAAACACTGCATGTTCTCACTCATAAGTGGGAGTTGAATAATGAGAACACATGGACGCAGGGAGGGGAACATCACAAACCAGAGCCTGTCTGGGGGTGGGGGGCTAGGGGATGCATAGCATTAGGAGAAATATCTAATGTAGATGACGGGTTGATGGGTAAAGCAAACCACCATGGCACGTGTATACCTATGTAACAAACTCGCACGTTCTCAACATGTACCCCAGAACTTAAAGTATAATAATAAAAAAAAGAATTGGCTTCTGTGTCTATATTTGTAGTTCATAGATTTTTACCCTCTTTATGTGGCCAGCTGCTGCTTCTTAGAAACATTCTTAGTGCCTGCACTTACCATTTAGGACCTCTCAACTTCAGACCTCCAATAGCTCCTTGGCCCATGAGCCTTCCTAGTTTCCCAGTAGAACTGGGTCTCAGCCCTGAGTCCTTTGCAGTACAAATACCTTTTGTTTACAGAAGGCCTCTCCTCGGACAGCAAATCTCCTTCACTCATGCCTTGTTCTACTCTTTTTTCCCATCAGGCTGTGTGACAAAAAAAAGTACACATTTCTCCAAATGCTTCATTTGCTCAGCACGTGGAATATAAAGAATAAGGAGCCTAATGTATAAAAGTGATCATTGGCTGTAACAATTCAACTTCTGCAGTCTTACCCTCATATGGAACTTGAATTTCCATTTAATGTGCCAGGTTTCTAGGAAAATTGAAAGTGTTTAAACATTTGTGAATAGCAGTAATAAGAAATGTATTTGGCCCCAAAGAGACAACTCCTTTACCAGCATTTAAAAGTTGTATAGTCAATATTACAAAGAATGTGTTTAGCATTCATTAAAGGCATCTGAACCCTAAAAAAGATGCCTTTTGGATTAGATAACATTTGAATAAAGCATTTTCTTTCATATACATATATATTATATATACATGGTATATGTAAATATTCCACTATGTGATTATATACACTTGTGTGTTATTAATTGTATATATAATTATATATAATTAATAAGTGACACAGAATGAAACAAGAGATGTTGATGTCATTTATTGACCATACGTTATTCACAGAGAGTCATGGATAGAAGCTTTGCTTAATACGTTTCTTTGTATTGATGTTAAATTCAAAACCCATATGAAGACAATCATTGCCAGGTTTCTATTTTATCAATTTATTAAACTTCCACTGTGTTCATGTATAACAGCACCCATGCTAAGGGCTATGGGATCTTTCTGAGTTTAAAACAACAACAAAAAGGTTTCTTAACTTTTTTTCATCCAGTATAAGCTACAAACTATACAAACATCTTAATGGAGATAAAGGGTTGTGATTGGGCTCTGGAACTTGAAAAGTTGTGTCTTGTCTTCATTCCTTTCCATCTTTGTTGCTAACATTACTTTATAGCATACAGTCTAGTGATCATGTGCACACCTTGTCTTTTCAACCTCTTTCCTCTCCTCCTAAGCTCTCAACCCATTACCTTTCTCCTCTCTCTACCATATCCCATCCCCATAGTCATACCTCTGCATCTCCTCCCACCTCTCCTCTTCCCCACTTACCCTTATTCCTTTCCCAGTTCTCCCTTTCTCTTCCCTCCCCTTCTTATTTACCCCTACTCTACTCTCACCTGTCTCACTTCCAGTTGTATTTCTCTCACTTAAGCACTTCCCACTGTATTTCTGTACCTTATGTCTGACTTCCTTCACACTCTCAAATACGTGGCTCACAAAGTATCTATCCGTATAAACGTATTTTATTCAGTGAGTCAATATCACCAGGTTCCCTAGAGGTTCTCTAGTTCTAATCACCACTAATGCAGAACAAGAACGATGTTGATTCTATCTATAGGAAATGAGCATTTCTTCATTTAAGAAAATGGGCAATAAAATTAGAGCTCTCTGTGGCACCCAGGCCTTCCTTGCCAGGTTACCAGTTATCAGGCCTATTTCAGGTTTTGTACTTGATTGCCAGTAATTCATCATTTTGGAATATATGTTCTTACTCTGCTTTGAGTTTTAAATCCCATGATAATACTACTACTACTACTACTACTACTACTACTACTACTACTACTACTACTACTACTACCACTGATGTATTTTAATAGTATTTTTGTGGGTTGTATTCGTTGTCCTTTTTACTGATTGAAACCTAACTAGTATGAAAAAAGAGCTTTATCCCCCTTTCTAGAAAAAAAAAATATTAAACAGGTACAGATTTTGCTGCAAGATAATATCTTCTTTCCTTGGTTAAGAAAACAATTTATTTTTTTTTCATTTCTCTTCCAAATTTTTAGCTGGAAGTTTTCAAATGTGAGGCAAGTAGTTTTATAAAATGTGCTGGAGGTATAGCTTTGTTTTAGCACTTTCTCACCCAGTAAGTGAGAAAATATAAGTTAAGAATAAACCCATCATATTTAAAAATGTCTCTCTTCTTTCATTCCAAAGAAATATTTTAGTACTGCACAAAAACACAAACACACATTTAGTTGGGGATGGCTGAATAAAACTTTTCTACCAAAGAGAAAGAAGAATGGAATGAAAACTGAAAAACCTTGATTATAGTGTATTTAAGAGAAAAATATAATTTTTCCTTTTAAAAAATTCTCAAAGAATATGGGTAAAGCTACATCATATGACTTAATAAAGTAGATTTACAGACTCATCAAAAACCTTGGCATAAAGAATATATTATCTTAAGAAGAAAGCTTTATGAAGAAGAAACTGTACTAAATGAAGAAAAACTAATTAAACTAATTAACTTACTCCTTTACTGAATTTGAAAGAACCATGTGCCAGGTCAAGTCTTGACCAGTTTAAAGTAGCAGCCTAATTTACTCATATTTAATTTTATTAAATTTTGTGGGAACAACAACAGGGCAGCTTCCTGAATTTTGTTGTTATTTTTCCTGGCTATTAGGGGTGGTTTTAAAAATGTGATTTTCCAATATAATTGGGAAATTTAAATAGAATAAGAGATGCCATGTATATTAATTTTATAAAGGAAGAAATGTTTTACAAAGAAAAATACCAATTTTTTAAGGTCAGAGAGTTCATAGATGTTAACAATACACAAACTGGCACAATGACCATAGCAAAATGAAATTGAAGTCAACACAAAGTTCCCTTGTGTGCATGGTATTTTACTGTGGTACATGGTAACCTAAGTTCCTTAGTCCACACCCCAGCCTGCTTTCCATTAAATAAGTTCAATATTTAATGCTCTGTCTGCAAACCTGGACCCACTTTTGGTCCCTTTCTCACTTGAATTCTCTACATACCAAAGGGTATTTCAGGAAACACACCTCAAAAGTCATAACTTCCCTGTAATTCCACTGCTATCTGCTCTCTCTGAACCATTGGTGTCTCTCATTGGGGTTGTGGCAAGATGTTCCCAACTGGGCCTTTTTTGGATCCACTGTAATCAGGTCTTCTATAATTCAACAGCAAGGGTCATTTGAAAAACAAAAATTATAATATCACTCCTCTGCTTAAAACCTCTCCATTGCTTTCCACTGTACATACAAGATCCAAATGTGTCTCATGGCCTACCAAGGTCTGCATTATGTGGCCCCTCCATATATCCTTAAACTAACCTTGACTTGTACTCCCCACCTTTCAATAAGCTCAAGCTACCAATGGTTCTTTTAGATTTTGAATATGCGACACCCTTTCTAGCCTCAGGGTTCTCACACATACTGTTCCCTCTGCCTGCAGTAGGCTTCACATATATGTCAGCTCTCCTTAGAAAGGGTTTTCCTCACTTCTATCTAAATTATTTGCCACAATTTATTCTCTGTTATAATAATTAGTGTTCTGCATAACATCAATTATAATTGGAAACTAAATACCTATTTGCTTACTTGTATATTGTCTACCTCTTCCACCAGACTGTTCTCTGAGCACAGGACTTTATGCCTATTTTGTTCCCATCTCCTACAGGCTAGCATAGTGTTTGGCACAGTATGCTGTCAACAAACACTGGCAGAATGAATACATGCCCCTGTGTAAGGAAGAAAGGAGCAGTACCCCTCCTCTTCCCTAGGACCAGTGAGGCTGTTTATAATGAACTAGTCTAAAGCATGCACACATGGGATGCTTCATGTAAGTCTGAATTTAATTTTGGATTTAAATTCATACATTAATGCTTCAGGTTATGCTTAAATTTATCGTTATTCATGAGGGCATGCCTGGGTCGGGACCACTACATAATTTGTGGGACTCTTCCAAAATAAAAATGCAGGTTGCTTGTTCCAAAAGCAAGAAAAAAGAGTGAAGTTAAAAATAACAAAATATGGATGAAACATTTTCCTTTAGAAATGTCTTAAGGATAAAGCCCTTTCCTTTAAAATGTCTTATATCTTATGAAATGTAATAGGAGTAATGGTAATACATGCATAACAACATAAAGTTGAAACTTGCAAAAACATTTTTAGTGTCAACTTTTTATATAATATAATACTTTGTTAATGATTCATCTTGACTGATCTTAAGATTGTTCTGGTTTCCTTTTCTGAAAATTCATTTATCAGTCACCAAAATTTATACTTTTAACAACTTCATTTTTTATTAATATAATTGAAAGCAACACCAGATTCTCTTGGTAAATGTAAGATCACAAGTAATTTTTATGTTTAAATATCTAGGTGAATCTCTCTGATTATGGAATTTTTACTGGAGCAGCTAGGTGTATTTTATAGACTATGTCACCTTTTAGAACATCTAGAGTTGTTGATTAGTCTCATGAGCAATTTTTCTAAAAAGATTTAACTCTTCATGCAAATTGGTTTCATAAGTCTGAATTTAATTTTGGATTTAAATTCATATAATAACATTTTAATGTTTCTTTTGACATCTGTAACTTATGAAAGTTGTATGAGAAACTCAAATTGGCTTCATGGCCTGCATGTAATTCAAAAGGACTGGTTATGCATTCTATGGTGTATCTTCCAACTATATAAAAAGTTACTTGTAAAATGAATTTTAAAATTGTATTTTGAAGCATCATATGAATGTAGCATTTTTTCCCACTGAATGTAACAATTTTTAAATATAATTTCTTTCTCTTTAGCCTGTGATATTTGCTTCACAATGTTGAAGCAGCTTTCAAAAACAGAATCTAAACACTTTGAGTAATTCTAATTCTGATATATGCTCTGCTGTAATATCCATATCTACCCTTATATTTTGTAGTAATTTACTCACAAAATCTAGTCCCTAAGGGCCAACAGTTTTTGTCCTAGACCTCACACTAGCTAGTTCCATTTGAGCAAATGACACAAGTAAGACTTTGAGAATGAATGGTCAAGTTCCCTCCTATGAAGCGCACTGGTGCTCTCTTAGGCAACGCTCCTATGGTGCTCCTCTGGGCAGTGGCCCTCTTTTGTTCCAGGCTGTGGCCATCTCTGGTGGCTGGTGCTGCTATTGTAGGTCCCATTGGAACAATCCCCTTCCCCAGGACTTCCCCAGGCAAAGGCAGGCACACACAGGCACACAGGCAGCTGGGCCAACTGTTCTGGGTGTCCCCTGCCTGCTGCCTGCTGTCCCCCATGCCTGTGGGCTTCAGCCTGTGTGTGTCTATTGCCTACTGGCATCTCTCTTGCTCATGTTGCATGCTCCACTGTCCCAAAGACTTTACTTAGAAAAAACAAGATCAAAGATAAAATTATTAAGAATTTCAAGCTGGCAATAGCAGAGCATTCAACCAAGAAAGGGTTAACTGCACAGCTCCCTGGCCCATAAAGCTAGCCCTGCTGGGTCTCTTTTGGTAGAATTGTGGATCTTGTCCTGGAAAGTGTGGTGACACTGGCAACTGAGAGTGGATCTCCCCTTTATTAACTAAAGTCCACAGTTTATATTAGGGTTTACTCTTTGTGTTATACATTCTATGGGTTTTGACAACCGCATAATGGATCTGCCATTATAGAATAGTTTCACTGTCCTAAAAGTCCCTGTTCTCCACCTATTTATCCTTCCCTCCCTACAGCCTTCATTGTTTTTTTCCATTCTCATTGTCAGTCTCTAATACAAAGGTATTCTAATCCCAGAACAAAAGACAAACCATTAAACCAAGTATTTTGAGTAGTGAGGGTTAGCAGAGAATGGAGAGGGTGGAGAAGGGCATGTTTTTATGAAGAAATCAGTTCCTGTTTTGGTTTCCAAGTCAGAAAATTTGAGATATGTTATACACATTATTTGTGTGGACACCACACATAACTGTATATGGAGCGAAGCGTGAACTGTGTTTACACCAGTAATAGCCAAAAAGAATTATAATAATAAAAATAACAGGGTTTTTTTAATTTTTTTTTATTTTTTGAGACATAGTTTCACTCTTCTTGCCCAGGCTGGAGTGCAGTGGTGCAATCTTGGCCCACTGCAACTTCTGCCTTCCAAGTTCAAGCCATTCTCCTGCCTCAGCCTCCCGAATAGCTGGGATTACAGGCACCCGCCACCACGACCAGCTAATTTTTGTATTTCTAGTAGAAATGGGGTTTCACCATGTTGGTCAGGCTGTTCTGGAACTCCTGATCTCAGGTGATCCACCCGCCTTGGCCTCCCAAAGTGCTGGGACCACAGGTGTGAGCCACTGGGCCCTGCCAAAATAAGAGTTTTTAAATCATAAAGACCACATACGCTATCTTTCAGATTGTCTGGCTGGTACAGGTGCTTAATAAATGTTTGTTGAGTTAATAAACTTATGCATAAGATTCCAGATAATTTAACCTCACTATGAAATTGCATTTAACACATATATAGTCTGAAACAAAATTATTCAAAAAAAAATAATTCATTAGTTTTATTTTCATGTATAAGCATACTTTCTTACAAAAAATCTGTCTCCATTCTTTACCTTTTGCACACACATCTATTCACACACAGACACACACAAACACACACACTTCTGTACTTAATAAGTAGGCTTGACTTTGTCTTTTCCCTTTTATTTCAATGATTTTATCAAATTGTTGAAGACTCTATTTCATATTTTCTCTTAGAATTATTCCTTCAATTTTATATAAAGAGGGCAAATGAGAACAAAGCCAAAATTAAATCTAGTTTTGCTTTGATTGTAGTTCTTTTTCAAGAGTTTAGTGTGCATTATGCTGATGAGGCTTGGTAAACCCAATTCCAATTTAAGCAAACACAATTGTTGAATGAATACTTTGGCATAAAGTTGCTCCTTTGTAGGCCAAATATCTAGCATGTAATTTTATCTCACTATTGTATTACAATAGAAGTATCATAGCTCTGGAAATAAGCTTAAATCTTTGTGTCTATAAGGAGTCCTCTTCAGGGAAAAAAAAATATATTTCAAAAGTTGGTACTTATTTAATCTCAAAGGGATAAGCAGTTGATATATTACTGAAAAGTATAAAAGGTATCTGACCATAAATTACCAAATTGTTTCCATAAAAACGTATTGTATTTTTGCATATATTTGTATTTACAAAACAAATAGTTAAATAACATTTATATAATCTAAAATGAGCAGGTATTCTATGTAGACCTATATAGGTTGAGATTTTAAAATGTTTAATAGTAATGTTTATTAAAATATTTAACAATAATTAAAGGCTATTTTTATTTTTAAAGTGGTAATTACAACTTATTTTCTTTTTTTAACCATAGTATTTTAATTTTTAACTGGAGTTTTACTTTATGATCTCAAGGTAGTCCAGAGTGGGAAATAGTTCTGAAACAATGCTAATTTGTTTTATTCGCTCTTTTGTCAATAGCAAAACTGAAAGCTTATTTCTCCCAAAGTGGTTAATAAGATAGCCTTCCTTACTCACACTTTGTTATTTCCTGTTTATTGGCCAAAAACAGATTGCTTTTACCACAGAGAATTATCTACAATGATTCCAAAGAGAAATATTGGATTGGCAGTCTGGGGAAATGTGTGCTTTTCTGCTATTTTTTTTTTTCTTTTCAGTTCGTGTGTGTGTGTTTGCTTCATATAGCTCAGAGTATGCTATCCAGGTCACAGACTTTTCATGTGTGAATTGAAATGGGATGAGCTTGAGGAAACACACTAATAAGAAAGCTCATTTTTATTTTATTATTTTAAAAATGCCTTCCTGAGAGAAGATTGGATAGTGCAGAGATTAGGTGAGTAGTCTTTTAATTCCTGAGATCTGTACCTCTGACCCAGCTCACAGAGATAATAAATTTTTTAAAACCGTTTTTGCTCCTGATAAAATTACTGAATTAAGTTTGAAAATAAAGAACCCACAGAGCTCGCTTCTAGTCTAATTGACAATTGCTGTTTCCCGAACCACTGACTTTGTGCCTATCTTACCCTACCACAGAAAGTGTTCTTTTTGGCTCCCCCAGTAGGTTATACTGTGAAGTCTTTCCATTGCAGTTTGAATTCCCTCATCTTCCAAAATACATCTGATTTCTCTTATTTTCTTTTTCACCAAAATGTATATTCAGGTCTTCAATGATCTGGCCAAGTATTGGTTTCCATTTCTACCTTCCTACTCATTTTACTCAGTTTTGCTATCATCATCTGGATTAGGTATACAAGTTCCATAGCTCCCGATTTCACCAAAGATGTGGTTCAATATTTTCATTAAGCAAAATTTGGATGTTTTATATTCAGTTATGAGCTGTTCGAGAGCAATATGTATTTCAGCCCTCTTTGCCTTCACTCGTATTTAGGAGAATTTTAAGAACCTAGTTAGTAAATGCTGAATAAATATTTGTTGAAAAAATAAAGATATGAATTAATGCTCTATAAGTAATAACTTGGAGATAGTTGGTTGGGGGGGGTTGGAGATGTGATTATCTTTCATTAATTTGATTTAAAAGAGAATTATTTAGTCCAGTAGGTAGAGTATGGAGGGTAAGTCAATACCCAAAATATCTATGTAGATTTGATTATTTATTTACTCCCAACAGTGTTAACAAAGGATTTGAGGAGTCTTAGATGACGAGATAGATGAGCTTGCTAGGAGAAACTTGCAAATAGATACAGCATTCAGGCTCAGGCTCAGACGCAGTAACAAAGAGATGTTTGGATAATACTACAACATTCCAAGTACTAAAAGGTAAATACTTGCTTGAAGAGATAATTAAAGAGACTGAAAAACATCTAATGAAGAGAGAAAACTAATAATATTTGAAGACATGAAACTTAAAATGTGTCAGTAACAAAATGATCAATATTGGTTGAAGGAAATAATAAATTTATCTCTAGCCTTTGTGTTAAATTCTTGAGCTATCTATATCATTTTAGATGTATAAGTAAGATATAAATAATTTTGAGTGCTCTTTACATAATCTCTTGTTTGCAAAAATTAACATTATCTGTCTATTTATTTATTTATTTTAGAGACAGGGTCTCATTCTGTCACCGAGGCTGAAGTACAGTGGTGTAATCACAGCTTACTGCAGCCTTGGAGTCCTGGGCTCAAGTGATCCTCCACCTCAGCCTCCTGAGTAGCTGGGACTACAGGTCCATGCCACCATGCTCAGCTAATTTAATATTTTTTTTTAGAGACAGAGAATTGCTGTGGTGCCCAGGCTGCTCTGGAACTCTTGGCCTCAAGCAATCCTCCTGCCTCAGCTTCCCAAAGTTTAGGGATTACAGGTGTGAGCCACCTCGCTTGGCCTGCAGATTTAACATTTTGAGTGCCATGGATCTAGATATTCCTGTAATCTATATTTGAAATAAGTTCATTGCTTTCAGATGGAGTTATGACCTTTTAAAGCAACATTCTGTGTTGAGTGCAATTTACCTAGTATTATCTGATCTCAGCATAAAAGTCTTTACTGCAGTAAACTGACATGGGCCACCCAGTCCAGATATCTACCACAAGCTTAAAAGTATTTTCCCTTTTTTAAATAGAGATTTTATTAAGAAAAGTAAGGAGTTAGTTTAGCATGACACAACCTATGTTGTGACGAGATCTGTCCACATTTTAATACTCAGCTCTTATGAGCAGATCTCTCAAAACAACCATGATACAGGCTGTTATGACATCAATCCTGGTGCCTTTCAGAGGAGCCCTGATGTGCCAAGACTCTTTTTCTCTATTTTTATCTGGATTCTTCCTCTCAGGTTGTCATGTGTTCTGTATATTGTTCTTTTCCTGTGCTATTTCTGGCCACTTACAATTTATGTGAAACTTTGTACTTTTAATCAGGGTTCTTACTCCCATGCTTGGCTCATGAACTTTATTCAAAGTTCATTTTAACTGTATCTATTTTATCAATTTGATTGCTGATGAAAGTTTATTCCTCCAGTGTGTTCTGTAGGATGCCTATTGCCATTTATTTGCTATTTCTGGAATAATTTCTGTGTGTATATGTGTGTATATATCCTGAGTACCTTATTGTCCTGAATTGCTATGCTATAATGTCGAAGGTAGAAAAGGGAGTTATTTTTTTACTTTTTATCCTAAACAAAAGTCACAAGAAACTCCAGAATGTTTCTTTAATAAAAATACGGAATCACTATTAAACAGAAACTCAGTTGTCATGGCATGTTCCATGTTAAGCCTTTAAATACGGTTTGACAAAGGACCTTGCTATTTAATTATTTCATGTCCTTTGTTGTTTAGGATGTACTGACCCAACAATTTTAATAGGTATCAGTGATCACCTGAATGGCAGCTACCCCAAGCTATAGGCATGGTGACTTGGAAACATTGATCCTCTCTATAATTCGAATCAACTTTGATTAATGGAAGTGCTGTAATATGATGTAGGAACAGAGGCACAAGATGTTCTGAAAAAGGTGGACTGTATACCACATGGACTTAAAAATAGTATACAATTGTAGAGGAGAACAAAGGAAAAGGAGCACAAATGTCAACTTAAGTAAACAGATGGCAGGGAAAGGATAGTGGTAGGAAAAATATGCAAAAGGAAGGGAAACTAAGTATTAATTAACCCATTGGATAAAATATTCTTTAACTCTGGGAGAGATAAAATGCTTATGACAGGACTGTCTTCATAAATACCAAGAATATTGCTGCTTAGGAAGAAGACTCTTGCTCTGTGTTCTTTGTTTTCTGAGACAAGACAACCCTGAATATGTTTTAAGTGAATAAATTAAATTGTTAAGATATGCTTCTGGATTTTCAATTATCTTAGGAGACACTAGTAATCCGGGAAGAGTATTTCTTTACCACCTGTAGTTAATATAATGAGATCTCATATCTTTCCATGTTGCCTGCAAAAGGGCAGCTTCCTGTTTGACAACCTAACTTGGTTTTGCTGAGAGAAAATCATACAGGTATGTACGTGTATTTATCTATCTCTATCTCTGTATCTATCTTTTTCACAGAGAAAAAGGTTTCTTAGGTAGTCCTGAGTGTTTTCATAGCTGTTTTTTGTTTTTGAACAATACACCTATAATTACACACCTTTTAATATAAAAGGTCATGACACCTTCACCACCACCATTTAAAATAAAATATTTTGGTGTGGATGATGAAGTCTATAAACTATTAGCTTTAAATGTTTTAAATTTATTCTATTCAATATTTTCTATGTTTATGCCTGAATACAGCCACAGGCATTGATAACATTCTAAAAGTTACTTGAAATTTGTTGGGATAATATGAGAAACAAAGGATTTGAGTGGAGTGGACATATCTGTCTTGCACTGCGATTTGTGCAGCTCTCTGCTTTCAGTCTGAACTGATTTGATCTGAACTTGTTCAAGCAACAGCACTCTTGGAGAGTTAGGCTTTGTTGGCAATCATGTGACTCAGGGCTGTGAAGGTCCTCAGCTGTTTTCCTAGAGTGTTATGTGCTAACTATACACTTTTAAAAAATGGAGCTGCTATTGTATAGAAGACTCAGAGGGGTAACTTTTGACACTTGTAACACAAGTCCAAACTATGATTTCTACACTTTGTGTCATTTCAGTTTATCTAAGCTCTAATCAAAACAGCACCCAGTGTTCCTTGCCCAAAGGCAAATCATCTTCTTGACAGTCCCATTTCCATTTACCTGTTATCATCCTTCTGTCTGCTAACCTTATAATTATGTTTGATACTTCCTCCTCCCTCACCCTGAAAATCCATCAGTTGCCAACTTTTGTAGTTTCTCTCTCTTTCGTGTCTGTTCTACCCACTTTGTCTGTTTTCTGTGCTCAAGAGGAGAACCTTATTATGTTTTGGCCTGGCCTACTCTGGCCCATTTAACTTATCCTTCTAACAATAGCCAAATAAAATTTCCTAAAATCCAGTTCATGCTTTATTACTTCGCAATTCAAAGAACTCAAAGGTTTCCCTTAAGTCTCAGCAATATAATCCCAACCTTACTTTATTATAGTATTACTAGTTTTCTACACATTCTACTTCATCTTTACTATAGTATTACTAGTTTTCTGTGCTTCAAGCCATTTACAAGTCTGATTATCAAAATGTGGTCAGAATCCTGTATTTCAAATCTTGTTTCCCTTGCAGGTAAAATGGTATTGCTCCCTCAAAGTAGCTCTCCTTCCCATCGTGATCTTAACCACAAACAAATTTCTCAACCTATTATGTATAGCCTAAAATGCCATATACCTAGAGTGCCTTTTCGTGCCACCCATGGTCAAGCTCCAGCCCTGATCTGGGACCTTTTAATCCTCAGTTCATTTAATTATATTTCTCTTTGGCACTTTCCTCATTCTTTCCTTACTATATTATATTTTATTCTAAATTTGCTTACCCCCAGGCTCTGTTTCTTCTCTGGGCAGAAAGCAAATTCCTCACAGAAATCCTTTAATATCATGCAGTCATTTGACATGCAGTAGGATTTTAAATACATTTTTGTTCTATTCAATAACTGATGCTTCTATAAACTTATATTTTATTCTTGCCAGAAATGTTTATGGGACAGGGTATGTCCCATAATTTTCTTTTGCTATAAATTATCAGTTTCTTGTCACTCTTATTCATAGAAAAAGATAAATCACTTAAATTCAGAACCTATTATTTCCCATTGATTTAATTTAGCTTATACAGAAATTCTATCAGTGCTACAAAATAGCAAACTCTCATATCTGTACTTGTAAAATTACTTTTAAATAACTTTAAATGAAAAAATCAATGAAAATAATATAGTATTTCCACAAAAGGGAAATGGTGATAATCGCTCATTTCAAAGAGGAAAACATTTAGGAATCTCATTTTCTCATGGTATTTATGGTAGAAATAAGCTGAATGTAAATCATAAAATTTTGGTCAGATACTTTTTTTTTGAAATACTATAATATTACAGTTTTCTTTACATTTTGGGGGGTAAAATTAACCTGTTATTTTAATGTATAATACTTATAACACCTTGAGGTTTAAATTTTAGAAATTAAAAAACTGGGACCCAGAAATATTAAATGAGCAGTCCAAATTACAGAAATAAAAATACTAGAAGTAGGACTTAAAATCCTGATCTCCTATTTAAACAATGTATGCTTATTCGATGTCACTCTGAGACTTTTCGTGAAAACCAAATTCTCGGGTGGAGCCAAGATGGCTGAATAGGAACAGCTCCCCTCTACAGCTCCCAGTGTGAGCGACGCAGAAGCCGGGTGATTTCTGCATCTCCATCTGAGGTACCGGGTTCATCTCACTAGGGAGTGCCAGACAGTGGGCGCAGGACAGTGGGTGCGTACACCGTGCGCGAACCAAAGCAGGGCAAGGCATTGCCTCACTCAGGAAGTGCAAGGGGTCAGGGAGTTCCCTTTCCTAGTCAAAGAAAGGGGTGACGGATGGCACCTGGAAAACTGGGTCACTCCCACCCTAATACTGCGCCTTTCCAACTGGCTTAAAAAATGGCACACCAGGAGATTATATCCTGCACCTGCCTCAGAGGGTCCTACGCCCACGGAGTCTCGCTGATTGCTAGCACAGCAGTCTGAGATCAAACTGCAAGGTGGCAGTGAGGCTGGGGGAGGGGTGTCTGCCATTGCCCAGGCTTGATTAGGTTAACAAAGCAGCCCTGAAACTCAAACTGGGTGGAGCACACCACAGCTCAAGGACGCCTGCCTGCCTCTAGGCTCCACCTCTGGGGGCAGGGCACAGACAAACAAAGGGCAGCAGTAACCTTTGCAGACTTAAATGTCCCTGTCTGACAGCTTTGAAGAGAGTAGTGGTTCTCCCAGCACGCAGCTGGAGATCTGAGAACAGGCAGACTGCCTCCTCAAGTGGGTCCCTGACCCCCCAGCAGCCTAACTGGGAGGCACCCCCCAGTAGGGGCAGACTGACACCTCACGAGGCCAGGTACTCCTCTGAGACAAAACTTCCAGAGGAACGATCAGGCAACAGCATTTGCGGATCACCAATATCCGCTGTTCTATAGCCACTGCTGTTCTGCAGCGACCACTGCTGATACCCAGGCAAAAAGGGTCTGGAGTGGACCTCTAGCAAACTCCAACAGACATGCAGCTGAAGGTCTTTTCTGTTAGAAGGAAAACTAACAAACAGAAAGGACAACCACGCCAAAAACCCATCTGTACGTCACCATCATCAAAGACCAAAACAGATAAAAACAAAAAGATGGGGAAAAAACAGAGCAGAAAAACTGGAAACTCTAAAAAGCAGAGTGCCTCTCCTCCTCCAAAGGAATGCAGCTCCCCACCAGCAAAAGAACAAAGCTGGAAGGAGAATGACTTTGATGAGTTGAGAGAAGAAGGCTTCAGATGACCAAAATACTCCAAGCTAGAGGAGGAAATTCAAACCAATGGCAAAGAAGTTACAAACTTTGAAAAAAAATTAGACAAATGGATACCTAGAATAACCAATGCAGAGAAGTCCTTAAAGGAGCTGATGGAGCTGAAAGCCAAGGCTTGAGAACTACGTGAAGAATGCAGAAGCCTCAGGAGCCGACGCAATCAACTGGAGAAAGGGTATCAGTGATGGAAGATGAAACGAATGAAATGAAGCGAGAAGGGAAGTTTAGAGAAAAAAGAATAAAAAGAAACGAACAAAGCCTCCAAGAAATATGGGACTACATGAAAAGACCAAATCGACATCTGATGGGTATACCTGAAAGTGACGGAGAGAACGGAACCAAGTTGGAAAACACTCTGCAGGATAATAGGATAATATCCAGGAGAACTTCCCCAATCTAGCAAGGCAGGCCAACATTCAAATTCAGGAAATACAGAGAACCCCACAAAAATACTCCTCCAGAAGAGCAACTCCAAGACACATAATTGTCAGATTCACCAAAGTTGAAATGAAGGAAAAAATGTTAAGGGCAGCCAGAGAGAAAGGTCGGGTTACCCACAAAGGGAAGCCCATCAGACTAACAGCTGAACTCTCGGCAGAAACTCTACAAGCCAGAAGAGAGTGGGACCAATATTCAACATTCTTAAAGAAAAGAATTTTCAACCCAGAATTTCATATCCAGCCAAACTAAGCTTCATAAGTGAAGGAGAAATAAAATACTTTACAGACAAGCAAATGCTGAGAGATTTTGTCACCACCAGGCCTGCCCTAAAAGAGCTCCTGAAGGAAGCACTAAACATGGAAAGGAACAATCGGTACCAGCCAGTGCAAAAACATGCCAAAAGGTAAAGACCGTCAAGGCTAGGAAGAAACTACATCAACTAACGAGCAAAATAACCAGCTAACATCATAATGACAGGATCAAATTCACACATAACAATATTAACTTTAAATGTAAATGGGCTAAATGCTCCAATTAAAAGACACAGACTGGCAAATTGGATAAACAGTCAAGACCAATCACTGCGCTGTATTCAGGAAACCCATCTCACACGCAGAGACAAACATAGGCTCAAAATAAAGGGATGGAGGAAGATCTACCAAGCAAATGGAAAACAAAAAGAGGCAGGGGTTGCAATCCTAGTCTCTGATAAAACAGACTTTAAACCAACAAAGATCAAAAGAGACAAAGCCATTACATAATGGTAAAAGGATCAATTCAACAAGAGCTAATGATCCTAAATATATATGCACCCAATACAGGAGCACCCAGATTCATAAAGCAAGTCCTTAGAAACTTACAAAGAGACTTAGACTCCCACGCAATAATAATGGGAGACTTTAACACCCCACTGTCAACATTAGACAGATCAACGAGACAGAAAGTTAACAAGGATATCCAGGAATTGAACTCAGCTCTGCACCAAGCAGACCTAATAGACATCTACAGAACTCTCCACCCCAAATCAACAGAATATACATTCTTTTCAGCACCACACCACACCTATTCCAAAATTGACCACATACTTGGAAGTAAAGCTCTCCTCAGCAAATGTAAAAGAACAGAAATTATAACAAACTGTCTCTCAGACCACAGTGCAATCAAACTAGAACTCAGGATTAAGAAACTCACTCAAAACTGCTCAACTACATGGAAACTGAACAACATGCTCCTGAATGACTACTGGGAACATAACAAAATGAAGGCAGAAATAAAGATGTTCTTTGAAACCAACAAGAACAAAGACACAACATACCAGAATCTCTGGGACACATTAAAAGCAGTGTGTAGAGGGAAATTTAAAGCGCTAAATGCCCACAAGAGAAAGAAGGAAAGATCCCAAATTGACACCCTAACATCACAACTAAAAGAACTAGAAAAGCAAGAGCAAACACATTCAAAAGCTAGCAGAAGGCAAGAAATAACTAAAATCAGAGCAGAACTGAAGGAAACAGAGACACAAAAAACCCTTCAGAGATTAATGAATCCAGGAGCTGGTTTTTTGAAGAGATCAACAAAATTGATAGACTGCTAGCAAGACTACTGAAGAAGAAAAGAGACAAGAATCAAATAGATGCAATAAAAAATGATAAAGGGGATATCATCACGGATCCCACAGAAATACAAACTGCCACGTGAGCAAACAGCTCGGTTCTGTGCAGAGATAAAGTCCCCCAAATATGGTGAAGGCCACCAAGCATGGATTATTGGGATTGTGGAGAAGGGCAACTGCACAGCCAGAATCATAGACAAACCCAGGATCATCGAGGTCGCACCACAAGTGGCCACTCAAAATGCGAATCCCTCACCTGGGGCCACCTCTTAATCTAGACAGAAATAGCTGTTTGGTTTTGTTTTTAAATAGATCTATGTCCCTTATCAATTCAATTAAAGAGTATAAACAACAACAACAACAACAAAAGAAATACAAACTACCATCAGAGAATACTATAAACACCTCTACGCAAATAAACTACAAAATATAGAGGAAATGGATAAATTCCTTGTTACGTACACCCTCCCAAGACTAAACCAGGAAGAAGTTGAATCTCTGAATAGAACAATAACAGGCTCTGAAATTGTGGCAATAATCAATAGCTTACCAACCAAAAAAAGGCCTGGACCAGATGGATTCACAGCGGAATTCTGCCAGAGGTACAAGGAGGAGATGGTACCATTCCTTCTGAAACTATTCCAATCAATAGAAAAAGAAGGAATCCTCCCTAACTCATTTTAGGAGGCCAGCATCATCCTGATACAAACGCCTGGCAGTGACACAACCAAAAGAGGAATTTTAGACCAATAACCTTGATGAACATTGATGCAAAAATCCTCAATAAAATACTGGCAAACCCAATCCAGCAGCACATCAAAAAGCTTATCCACCATGATCAAGTGGGCTTCATCCCTGGGATGCAAGGCTGGTTCAACATATGCAAATCAATAAATGTAATCCAGCATATAAACAGAACCAAAGACAAAAACCACATGATTATCTGAATAGATGCAGAAAAGGCCTTTGACAAAATTCAACAACCCTTCATGCTAAAAACTCTCAATACATTAGGTATTGATGGGATGTATCTCAAAATAATAAGAGCTATCTATGACACACCCACAGCCAATATCATACTGAATGGGCAAAAACTGGAAGCATTCCCTTGGAAAACTGGCACAAGACAGGGATGCCCTCTCTCACCACACCTATTCAACATAGTGTTGGAAGTTCTGGCCAGGGCAATTAGGCAGGAGAAGGAAATAAAGGGTATTCAATTAGGAAAAGAGGAAGTCAAATTGTCCCTGTTTGCAGATGACATGATTGTATATCTAGAAAACCCCATTGTCTCAGCCCAAAATCTCCTTAAGCTGATAAGCAACTTCAGCAAAGTCTCAGGATATAAAATCAATATACAAAAATCACCAGCATTCTTATACACCAATAAGAGACAAACAGAGAGCCAAATCGTGAGTGAACTACCATTCACAATTGCTTCAGTGAGAATAAAATACCTAGGAATCCAACTTACAAGGGATGTGAAGGAACTCTTCAAGGAGAACTACAAACCACTGCTCAATGAAATAAAACAGGATACAAACAAATGGAAGAACATTCCATGCTCATGGGTAGGAAGAATCAATATTGTGAAAATGGCCATACTGCCCAAGGGAATTTATAGATTCAATGCCATCCCCATCAAGCTACCAATGACTTTCTTCACAGAATTGGAAAAAACTACTTTAAAGTTCATATGGAACCAAAAAAGAGCCCACATTGCCAAGTCAATCCTAAGCCAAAAGAACAAAGCTGGAGGTATCACGCTACCTGACTTCAAACTATACTACAAGGCTACAGTAACCAAAACAGCATGGTACTGGTACCAAAACAGAGATATAGATCAACGGAACAGAACAGAGCCCTCAGAAATAATGCTGTGTATCTACAACCATCTGATCTTTGACAAACCTGACAAAAACAAGCAATGGGAAAAGGATTCCCTATTTAATAAATGGTGCTGGGAAAACTGGCTAGCCATATGTAGAAAGCTGAAACTGGATCCCTTCCTTACACCTTATACAAAAATTAATTCAAGATGGATTAAAGACTTACACATTAGACCTAAAACCATAAAAACCCTAGAAGGAAACCTAGGCAATACCATTCAGGACATAGGCATGGGCAAGGACTTCAAGTCTAAAACACCAAAAGCAATGGCAACAAAAGCCAAAATTGACAAATGGGATCTAATTAAACTAAAGAACTTCTGCACAGCAAAAGAAACTACCATCAGAGTGAACAGGCAACCTACAGAATGGGAGAAAATTTTCGCAACCTACTCATCTGACAAAAGGCTAATATCCAGAATCTACAATGAACTCAAACAAATTTACAAGAAAAAAACACCCAACCACATCAAAAAGTGGGTGAAGGATATGAACAGACACTTCTAAAAAGAAGACATTTATTCAGCCAAAAAACACATGAGAAAATGCTCATCATCACTGGCCATCAGAGAAATGCAAATTAAAACCACAATGAGATACCATCTTACACCAGTTAGAATGGTGATCATTCAAAAGTCAGGAAACAACAGGTGCTGGAGAGGATGTGGAGAAATAGGAACACTTTTACACTGTTGGTGGGACTATAAACTAGTTCAACCATTGTGGAAGTCAGTGTGGGGATTCCTCAAGGATCTAGAACTAGAAATACCATTTGACCCAGCCATCCCATTACCGGGTATATACCCAAAGGATTATAAATCATGCTGCTATAAAGACACATGCACATGTATGTTTATTGTGGCACTATTTGCAATAGCAAAGACTTGGAACCAACCCAAATGTCCAACAATGATAGACTGGATTAAGAAAATGTGGCACATATACACCATGGAATACTATGCAGCCATAAAAAATGATGAGTTCATGTCCTTTGTAGGGACATGGATGAAACTGGAAACCATCATTCTCAGCAAACTATCGCAAGGACAAAAAACCAAACACCACGTGTTCTCACTCATAGGTGGGAATTGAACAATGAGAACACATGGACACAGGCAGGGGAACATCACACTCCAGGGACAGTTGCGGGATTGGGGGAGGGGGAAGGGATAGCATTAGGAGATATACCTAATGTTAAATGACAAGTTAATGGGTGCAGCACACCAACATGGCACTTATATACATATGTAACAAACGTGCACATTGTGCACATGTACCCTAAACTTAAAGTATAATAATAATAAAATTTAAAAAAAAAGGAAAACTAAATTATCAAGAAGTAATAGGAATTATTGACCTAAACCCTCTCAATTTTCTATTGGAAAGTACTTTTGTTTCAGATAAATCTAGCTGTCTAATATTTATTGTCGAATAATGTATTAGTTAGGGTTCTCTAGAGGGACAGACCTGATAGGAGATATGTATAGCAAAGTTTATTAAATATTAACTCACATGATCACAACATCCCATGATAGGCTGTCTGCAAGCTGAGGGCCAAAGAGAGCCAGTCTTAATCCAAAAACTGAAGAACTTAGACTCTGATGTTCGGGGGCAGGAAGCATCCAGCACAGGAGAAAGATGTGGGCTGGGAGGCTAGGCCAGTCTAATTTCTTCACATTTTTCTGCCTGCTTTATATTCTAGCTACGCTAGCAGCTTATTAGATGGTGCCCACTCAGACTAAGAGTGGGTCTGCCTTTCCCAGCCCACTGATTCAAATGTTAATCTCCTTTGGCAACACCCTCACAGACACACCCAAGATCAATACTTTGCATCCTTCAATCCAATCAAGTTGACACTCAGTATTAACCATCACAAGTCCACCCTTTGTCAACTTGAATCCATACACATCTCCTGAGATCATACATAATCTTTAAATAAAGAAAATTATAAGGTCATAATTACGCTTAACATAATACAACTATCCTTCGTACAAACGGAAACACACCAATTCCCAACCCAAATATGATTACATAAAGTTAAATGCTGATGTGAAGTCAATAAATCTTAGGTTACCTGATAAAGGAAAAAGGAAATAAAATGAACTTATTTTCTTAGTTCAAGTGTATACATGCACAAACATATTTCTAACAAAAGAGGGAGGAAATACTCATGACAATTACAGTCCTTGTTTCTGCAGCAGGTCATGTGGTCATAGCTGGTATTGATGACTACCTTCTTCTACTACCCATTCTGTATTCCCTTTGCCTTCAGCAAGCACCTCAGCAGGTTGTGGTATTTTTCCTGGTGGAGAGACCGAAATCTTCATTGCTGAAGGGTCTGGGCAATTTGTAGTCCTGCCTGGGTTGGGTTGTTGTAGTTTCCCATTGATCTTAATCACAGGGCATGGTAATACTAAGAGACACCCAGATGGATCTCTGTATTCCATGTATAATCTTCCTTACCTCTGTTGTGGAGTAGTAGACTGATTTCATCTTGATAGTCCTATTCAATCCCCCTAGCCAACACTGTATCTCCCTTCTTAGCCTGTTGACTTAAAGGTATGAGGAGCCCAAAGTGTCCAGGTGGCAATCTTAACTTCTAGTTTAATGGTAACGTGTTTACTGGTGGCAGCATTCCTCCCTCTGGAACTAAGACCTCTAGGCCAGCAGAACATAATTTCACAGGGACAGGAAGCAAAAAATTTGCTAATGCACCACTAGGGGTGATGGTGAGTGCTGCCACTTCTACTTCCACCCCTTGATTCCTGGACCTGTGAACCCTGGCTATCGGAAAAACAGTACCATATATTCGATGCTGATTTAGTGCATATACGATCTTCTGGAGAAGTTTGCCCCAGTCCTGCAAAGTATTGTCACCTAGTTGGCATTGTAACTGTGACTTCAAAAGGCCATTCTAGTGTTCTACCATTCCAGCTGCTTCAGTATGATGGGGAACATGGTAAGGCCAGTGAATTCCAAGAGCATGAGCCCACTGCTGCACTTTTTTAGCTGTAAAGTCAGTGCCTTGGTCAGAGGCAATGCTGTGTGGTATACCATGATGGTGGATGAGGCATACTGTGAGTCCACAAATGGTAGTCTTGGCAGAAGCATTACGTGTAGGATAGGCAAACTCATATCTGGAGTAAGTGTCTATTCCAGTGAGGAGAAACCTCTGCCCTTTCCATGATGGAAAAGGTCCAATATAATCTACCTGCCACTAGGTAGCTGCCTGATCACCCCAAAGAATGGTGCCATATCAAGGGTTCAATGTTCGTTTCTGCTGCTGGCAAATTGGGCACTCAGCAGTGGCCATAGCCAGGTCAGCCTTGGTGAGTGGAAATCCATGTTGCTGAGCCCACGAGTAACCTCCATCCCTGCCACCATGGCCACTTTGTTCATGGGCCCATTGGGCGATGACGGGGTGGCTGGGGAAACAGGCTGAGTCGTGTCCACAGAACGAGTCATCCTCTCCACTTCATTATTAAAATCCTCTTCTGAGGTCACCCACTGGTAAGCACTCACATGGGATACAAGTATCTTTACAGTTTTTGACCAGTCAAAGAGGTCCATCCACATACCTCTTCCCCACATTTCTTTGTCACCAATTTTCCAATCATGCTTCTTCCAAGTCCTTGACTTCCCAGCCAAACCATTGGCTACAGCAAATGAATCAGTATATAATTGTAAATCTGACCATTTTTCCTTCCATGCAACGTGCACGACCAGGTGCATTGATTGAATTTCTGCCTACTGGGGAGATTTTCCTTCACAGCTGTCCTTCAGGGGTGTCCTAGAAAAGGGCTGTAGTACTGCAGCTGTCCACTTTCGGGTGGTGCCTGCATATCGTGCAGAACCCTCTGTGAACCAGGGCCTAGTCTTCTCTTCCTCTGTCAACTTATCATAGGGAATTCCCCATGAGGCCATCAGTGCAGGCTGGGGTGGCAGGGGTGGAGTCACTTCCATTTGAGCCACTTCCTCATGTAACTTACATGGGCATTTGAGCCACCTCCTCATGTAATTTACTTGTGCTTTCAGCACCTGCTTGAGCCCAGTCACATATATACCACTTCCATGTGATCATGGAATGTTGCTGTGCACACCTCACTTTATGGCTAGATGGATCAGAAAGCACCCGGTTCATGATAGGCAGTTCAGGTCACATGGTGACTTGATGACCCATAGTTAAACGTTCAGTTTCCACCAAACCCCAGTAACAGGCCAAGAGCTGTCTCTCAAAGGGAAAGTAGTTATCCACAGAAGATGGCAGGGCCTTGCTCCAAAATTCTTGAGGCCTCTGCTGTGATTCACTGATGAGGGCCTGCCAAAGGCTCCAAACAGCATCCCTATCTGCCACTGACACCTCAAGCACCATTGGATCTGTTGCAGAGCAGCTTGCACAGCAGCCTGGACCTGTTGCAGAGCCTTCTGTTCTGGACCCTACTCAAAACTGCCAGCCTTTTGAGTCATTCAATAAATGAGCCAGAGTAACACACCCAAATGGGGAATGTGTTGCCTCCAAAATCCAAATAGGCCCACTAGGCATTGTGCTTCTTTCTTGGTTGTAGGAGGGGCCAAATGCAGCAACTTATCCTGCACCTTAGAAGGAATGTCTCAGCAGGCCCCACACCACTGGACCCCTAGAAATTTTACTGAAGCAGAACATCCCTGAATTTTAGTCGGATTTATTTCCCATCCTCGGATTTATTTCCCATCCTCTGGCACGCAAATGTCTCACCAATAAGTCCAGCATATTTGCTACTTTTTGTTCACTGAATCCAATTAGCATAATGTCATCAATGTAATGGACCAGTGTGATATCTTGCAGAAACAAAAAGCAATCAAGTTCTCTCCAAATAAGATTATGACACAAAGTCAGAGAGTTCATATACCCTTGAGGTAGGACAGTAAAGATAATTGCTGGCTTTGCCAGCTGAAGGCAAATTGCTTCTGGTGAGCCTTATGAACAGGAATGGAGAAAAAGGCATTTGCCAAGTCAAGGACTGCATACCAGGTACGAGGAGATGTGTTAATTTTCTCAAGCAATGAAACCACATCTGGTACAGCAGCTGCAACTGAAGTCACCACTTGGTTAAGCTTATGACAATCTGCTGCCATTCTTCAAGGCCAAATCTTCTGCACAGGCCAAATGGGAGAGTTGAATGGGGATGTGGTGGGAACCACCACCCCTGTGACTTTCAAGTCCTTGATGGTGGTAGTAATCCCTGCAGTCCCTCCAGGGATGAGACATTATTTTTCATTTACTATTTTTCTAGATAGAGGCAGCTCTAATGGCTTCCATTTGGCCTTTCCCATCATAATAGCCCTCACCTAACCAGTCAGGGAGCCAGTGTGGGAGTTCTGCCAGCTGGTAAGTATGTCTATGCCAATTATGCATTCTAGCACTGGGGAAACGACCACAGGATGAGCCTGGGGACCTACTGGACCCACTGTAAGTCAAACCTGAGCTAAAATTTCATTAACTTCCTGACCTTCATAAGTTCCGACTTTAACTGGAGGACCACAGTGACATTTTGGGTCCCCTGGAATCAACATCAGCTCAGAGCCACTGTCCAGTAATCCCCCAAATATCTGATCATTTCCCTTTCCCCAGTGCAAAGTACCAGGTAAAAGGCCAGAGGTCTCCTTGGGGAAAGATGGGAAAAAGATTAACAGCATAAATTGTCGGTAGCGCAGTGGGGGTCATTCCCCAAGGGGAAAAGGCCTCCCCTTCATTCAAGGGGTTCTGGGTCTGTAAACTGGCTCAAGTCTGGAAATTGATTGAGGGGCCATGATTCTCTGTTTTTATAGTTCAAATTAGTCTTTTGTCCATTCGACCTAGAAGTATTCTGCTTATATAAATTAAGTAGGAATGCTGTAGGTGTACTATCAATTTCACTTCTAGGAACACCATGATTAATTAGCCAATGCCAGAGTTCTACAGGAGTCAGACTATTCTGATTGCTGCTTTGCCTCTGCTTTCCATTATGATAGCTATGCCCACCTTGCCTTTGAGGGTTGAGTGCCACCACTTGGCCTCTGCTCCTTCAGGATCTAATTATTCCAACTGTATTTAAATTTTGTAGTTGAGTGACTCTGGTTCCCACTGTTAGATCTGACATACGGAGAGAAGCAATTACAGGCCTCTTCAAAGATGCAGGTGCTGCCCTCACAAATCTATTTTGCAAGGCATTGGTCAAGGGTATATCTTCTGGACTCTCCAACCTGGGATGAGTAGGTCTAAAATGACTAATCCATGCCACCATCCCAGTCTCCCTAAGCCTTTGGATCCCTTCCTCTACATTAAACTAAGGGAGATCAGGCATTTCCAGCTTGCTCACAGTGGGCCATCTTTTAATCTATATTTCAGCTAACCAAGCAAATAAACTATTAGAACCTTTTGTAACTCCCTGAGCTGCAACATTAAATGCAGAGTCCCTTCCTACTTAGTGGGCCCAGATCAATAAATTCAGCCTGATCTAACTCTATGTTCCTTCCACCATTATCCCACACCCTTAATATCCATTCCTATGCCTGTTCCACAGATTTCTGTTTATGTAAATTAGAAAACTCAAGCAGTTCTTTTCAAGTGTAGCATACGTCCTCGTGGGTTACACACTCAACCTCCCCTCTAGGGGCCCACCAGGACTTTAGTCTAGTTGTAGGTCTAGAAGCAAACAGGGGTGCTGGGGGTGGCTCCTGAGGAGAATCAACATTATCTTGCCTGGCAACTGCCTCAGGGGAGGCCATCACCATTGCCTCAGGCAGTGCAGGGTTTATCTCCTCAGAGAAGGGTGGAAAGGCTGATGGCAGCATGGATCGGGGAGGGGATGTTGCCACTGCTGGGATGGGGAAGTTGTTTCTTCTGGGAAAAAAGTTTCATCAGAGTTTATAAACTCAGTGTCCCCAGTGTTATCCGGGTCCTCCACGCATACCTATTTCAAGTTGCAGGGTTCCATTCTTTTACAGTCAATGCCCTCACTTTAACAGTAGACACCTGGCGAGGCTGTGCATGCACCTTTCTTTACAGATCAGCCACTCGCATGATAAGAGCTTGTGTCTATTTTTCTGCAATTTCAGCTTTTTCTCTACAGGAGATAAGACTCTCACTCAGGGCAATCTTAGCAGATTTGAGGCTCAGTAGCTGCAGCTGAAGCCAGGAGACAGAATCCCTGAGTTCATCATTTTCTTTCATCACTTTGTCCACTGAACTTAGGAGCAACCAAGTAACTTCATTATGTTCCTTGGTTCTCCGCATATGCTCAAAGGTATTACATATAGAGTCACGAACTCCTTGCCTCTCATGAGTGGTGAATCAGAAGTGTTAAATACATTTATTTTGCATAAGTCTCTAAACAGTTCATGCCAAAGACTATCAGTGTTCTCTATACTATTTGAAGTAGAGTTCTTACCATTTTGGGGCCTAATCATATTAAGCAGCCAACTCCAGAAACCCCAAAACCAACGAAAGAACTCCATCCTTAATATTCTGTTCCTCTAGAACCACTCCCGGTACCAAAATCTGTATTAGTCAGGGTTCTGTAGAGGGACAGAATCAATGGAATGGATATATGTATATGTATATAAATGGGAATTTATTAAGTATTAACTCATATGATCATAAAGTCCCACAACAGGCCATCTGCAAGCTGAGGACCAAGGAGAGCGAGTCTGAGTTCCAAAACTGAAGAACTTGGAGTCTGATATTTGAGGACAGGAAGCATCCAGCACAGGAGATAGATGTAGGCTGGGAGGCTAGGCCAGTCTGGTCTTTTCACATTTTTCTGCCTGTTTTATATTCTAGCCATGCTGGCAGCTGATTAGATGTTGCCCACTCAGACTAAGAGTGGGTCTGCCTTTCCCAGCCCACTGATTCAAATGTTAGTCTTTGGCAACACCCTCACAGACACACCCAGGATCAATACTTTGTATCCTTCAATTCAATCAAGTTGACACTCAGTATTAGCCATCACAAATAATTTCAGATTTTATTTTTTCCCATGCTACAATTACTCATCCATTGATTTAATATTTTTCACCAAATGATTATTGATTATAATATGCCAGGAAAAGTGTTGGGTGCTAGACAGAATAACAAATAATGCAGATATAGATTCTTTCTTGGCAGAGATTACAGTTTAGTAAGAAAGGCAAAAAATAATTAGTTCCATTAGTTCCAACGGCCAACTGAAAACAATAAAAATGCCAAATAATTTTTTAAAAAATATTTCAAATATCATATTGAATGAAGATAAACATAAATTAAGAAATGTTCAAAAGCCCAAATCAGAGTGAGAGCGGGAAATCAAAAAGGCAGCTGTTCTCCTAATGGGGCTCCTATTTTGGGCTATCTTCTGGACCCTGGTGACTTTTGCTGAACTCATGTGATATGCAGGCTGGAGAAAGCCAAGATAGTGAGCCTCAAAGGTGACCCAGCTTACAACTGTGTCCCCAAAGGCTATGCCATCAGACTAAGTGTAAGCTAGGAATGGGACAAACACTCAGAAGGGAACTTTTAAAAAAAAGTCTATCTCTGTTTGCCTAGAGAGAAAGAAAAAATCTCTCTACCATTTAAAACCAAAAGTTAGTCCTTCTATGGGTTTGTAGCACAAAGCCTCACTACACAGAAACCAGAGAAATCCAAATGAAAAGGAGATAATATTTCCCAGACATTAAATTGGCAAAATTTAAATCTGTTGGCAACAGGCACTGCCATAAACATGATGAAATAGAGCTGCTATGGAATGGTGGTAATACTGAAAACTGGGATACCCACTTCAGAGAGCATAAAGTTAGTACTTGTTAAAATTGAAGATGCCTATATTCCATGATGGAAATTCTGTATCTAGAGATATATCCTTGAAAAGAACTTCACATATGTGAATAAGGTAACTTACGCTAGGTTATTTATTGCAGTACTGCTTATAATAGGAGAAAAATAGAATAATTCAACTGTTATCAGAAAGAAAATAAAGAGTGGCTTAAACACATGATGGAATAATACAGAATAAAACAATCAAAGAAAAAAGTGAGTGTATGTGTGTATGTATATATATATATATATAAATGTGGATAAAACAGAATATCGAGAGAGAAAAGATAAGTCAAAACAGGGCAAAGTATATGGTTTATGTAAATGAATATATTGTTTATGGATACATACACATGAAGTGAAACTATAAAATACACTGGTAATTGATGCACCACAAATTCAGAACGGGAGAAGTGGGGAGAGAAAAAGATGCTTAAGACGTATCTATAAGACATAGTTTTTCTACAAAACGAAAAGCATAATGATGCAAAGATGGCAAAATACTGCCATCTGTTAATATTATTATTATATTATTTTGGTGTTTTCTGAATATTTTAAATATTTTATTATTAAATGTAAAATTTTGAGAAGAAAATCTGTAACTGACTCTAACCACATTCAGTGATGGAGGAGAGAACATAATATGATTATTCCAATCAATGCAATATAAACACTTGATAAAATGTGACTCCCACTTGTGATTTTAAACATCTTAGAAATTTAGATATAAATGAAATTTTCCTTACTATATGAAGATAATCTACTAAAACGCTACAACAAAATTCATATTTCACTGTAAAGTTTAGGAGCACTCTCTCAAGACGATAATGAAGCCAGGTGCATGCTATCATCCTATCTATTCAAAATTATGTTGTATGTCCTTGTTAACACAAAGGTTAAATTACAATTATAAGAAATAAAAAGGAAACAATAAAATTTTTATTTTGTGCAGATAATCAATTGAACCTAGTGAAAACTTTTAGAACTAAAAAGAATCTGGTGAGGGGATTGGTTATAAGATTACCATACCAATACCAATAGTATTTCTACACAGTAGCTGCTTACTCTAAAATGTAATAAAAAGAGATCCCATTTTCAAAAGCAACAACACTTTACAGTAGCTGACAAAATGTGTTCAAGAAATTTAATCACATAAAATACATGTGAAAGGTGCAAAAATGACCCAAATAAATAGAAGGCTGTCCCATGATCTTGTACAAAAAGTATAACTATCATAAAATTGTTAATTTCTTAAAAGTCAAGTATTGAACAGGGTTTATTATGAAAAATGAGTCTAAGATTTACATAAAATAATCTAAAATACCCAAACTTGCAGGATAAATTTGAAGAAGAGATGGGTTATGCAAGATGGAAGGAAGTGAGAGGAAAGCAGAGATACATCCTACACACACGCACACACACACACACACACACACACACACATATATGTATATATATAGGCACAAGCATAGCAAGTAACCCAATGAAATAAAATGTCAAATCGTGGAAACATGCCAATATTTACATAGGAAACTTGGCAGAGGATTGAGATAACACTAAATATAGTGAAGGAAATAATTGATAATTTAGTAAATAGAATTGGTAAAATTAACTCTCCATAAATGTAAGAAAATATAGAGGTGAGTTTTGTCTCAAAAAATAAACAAAAATATTTCCTAATGGATTCAGACCAAAATGTGAAAAGTATGTTTCAATACTTTGTATGAATTATTGAAGACCAAATGTGAAAAGTATGTTTCAATTCTTATTCATATGAATAAGAATGTACATAAAATTACCTTTGTATTTTTGGAATGTAAAAATATTTTAATAAGGTACAAAAACTAGAATCCACAAAGAAGAAAATTTATAAATTTGCAACATCAAAACTATAACTTCTCTGTGACAAAAACCAACAAACAAAAATATTTTTAAAGATAAGCCACATATATAAAAAATTATTTTCTATTCCTACCATCACAAAGATTTAGTTATGAAAAATATACAAATGTATCAAATCAGTAAGATATAAGTAGACTAATGGAAAAAGGAGCAAAGGATTTGAACAGGCAAATTATACAAAAATGAAAACTGAATGGGCATTGCATATTAAAAATGTCCAGCCTTGCAAGTAATCAGGCTACTACAAATCAATTCGACAATGAAATATACATTGAAATTCATAAATATGCAGAAACTTTAAGTTTAATAATAGTAATATTGGCAAGAATGTGGGGAAATGCTTTCATATGGTACTTTTAATACCTACAAGCTTTTTGATGAGCAACTTCTTATACTTTTTAGGAAAACTGAAGATGCAGGAATTCCATAGAGACTCCCCTTTTGTGTATTTACTACAGAAAATGCCTACACACAAGTACAAACATTTTCAAAGAATCTCATTGTGGAATTGCATGTACAAACAGATAATAAAGATGCCCATCAGTAAACAAATGGCTAAATTATGGTACATTTCTACAATGGATTCCTATATAGCAGTTTTAATGGAACAAACCTACATGCTTTATCTAAATATAGATAAATATTATTAATATTATATCAACTGAAATGACAAGCAAATGACACAGGCAGTAAACATTACATAAATCTAAAAATCAATGCTGTGTATCATTTAACATAAACATTAAAAATGCATGCAGATGAAGGGAAAAACTAATATCTGAATAGTAGTTATCTTTGTGAAAGGATGAAGGGAAAATAATGGGTTGAGAGAAAAATGCTTCAGCTATACGTTGTTTTAAAAGCAAAACAATTTTAGCTGCCATGAATTCTAGGGAAAAGAAAACGATAAAATGAAACAAAAGAGATGAAGGAAATATAACAAACGAAAACCTTTATGTATTAAATATTAAATAAATCATGGGTTTCTGGTGAATTATTTTAATTTTTATTCAATTCATAATTAAAAATAAAGAATACATAGTAAAAATTAAAAAGCAATCATTACAATCAATTGTAATGACAGTTACAATACAGAAAATACAGACTAATAGGAAAACTAACAGTAGTCAAGCCTGAAATAATCTACACAATTATGTTACTGGTACCAAAACAGACACCTAGACCAGTGGAACAGAATGAGGAGCCCAGAAATAATTCCGCACACACACAACCATCTGCTCTTTGACAAAGCTGACAAAATCAATCAATGAGGAAAAGACTCCCTATTCAATAAATAATGCTGGGATTACTGGCTAGCCATATGCAGAAGATTGAAGCTGCACCCGTTCCTTACACCACATACAAAAATCACCTCAAGATGGATTAAAGCCTTAAATGTAAAATCTAAAACTACAAACTCTGGAAGAAAACTTAGGAAATACCATTCTGGACATAGGAGCTGGCAAAGATTTCATGATAAAGTCACCAGAAGCAACTGCAACCAAAACAAAAATTGACAAATGGAACCTAATTAAAGAGATTCTGCACAGCAAAATAAACTATCGTTGGAGTGAACAGACAATCTACAGAATGAGAGAAAATATTTGCAAACTATGCATTTGATGGAGGTCTAGTGCCCAGAAGCTATAAGAAACTTAAAAAAAATTTACAAGCAAGAAACAAATAACCCCATTAAAAAGTGGGCAACAGACATGAAAAGACATTTTTCAAAAGAGGACATACACGTGGCCAACAAGCATATGAAAACAAACGTTGAAAATCACAAATCATTAGAGAAATGAAAATCAAACCACAATGAAATACCATCTTACACCAGTCAGAATGGCTATTAGCAAAAAGTCAAAAAATAACAGATGCTGGAGAAGTTGTGGAGAAAGAAAACATTTATATGCTACCGGTGGGAATGTAAATTAGTTCAGCCATTGTGGAAAACAGTTTGGTGATTTCTGAAAGAACTTAAAACAGAATCACGGGCTGGACACGGTGACTCACGCCTGTAATCCCAGCCCTTTGGGATGCCAGGGCGGGTGGATCACCTGAGGTCAGGAGTTCGAGACCAGCCTGGCCAACATGGTGAAATTGTCTCTACTAAAAATACAAAAATTAGCCAGGTGTGGTGGCAGGAGCCTGTAATCCCAGCTACTCGGGAGGCTGAGGCAGGAGAATCACTTGAAACCCGGAGGCAGAGGTTGTGATGAGCTGAGGTCGTGCCACTGCACTCCAGCTGGGTGAGAGTGAGACTCCATCCCCACACCCCCCCAAAAAGAAAAAAAAAACAGAATCACAATTCAACCCAGCAATCCCATTACTGGTTATATACCCAAAGGAACATAAATCATTCTACCATAAAGACACATGCACACATATGTTCATTGTAGCACTATTCACAATAGCAAAGACACAGAATCAACCTAAATATCCATCAACAGTAGGCCAAATAAAGAAAATGTGGTACATATACACCATAGAATACTATGCAACCATCAAAAAGGAGGAGATCATGTTGTGTGCAGCAACATGGATGGAGCTGGAGGCCATTATCCTACACAAACCAACACAGGAACAGAAAACCAAATACCACATGTACTTACTGGTAAGTGAGAGGAGAAGGATGAGGATCAAAAAACTACATATTGGGTACTGTGTTTATTACCTTGGTGATGAAATAATCTGTACACCAAACACCAGCAATATGCAATTTACCAAAACAACAAACATGCACATGTACCCCTGAACCTAAAAGTTAAAAAAAAAGAACAGCATCCTAGTAGAATCTCCTATCTGGAGGATGGATTGAGTCAGCAACATGAAGGGGTCCTTAAAGAGCCACAGGGAAAGAGGGTTCAGGCAGAAGAAATGTCAGGTATGAAATACCTAATGTAAGAAAAATCAAGAATTCAATTAAGTAAGAGTCAAATATTCCTGAAGCAGCATTTCTTAAACTTGGCTGACCATTAGAATCACCTGGGGAGCTTTAAAACTTCTACCAGGCTTTCTCAAACCTTGAGGATTTTTTTTTAATGCAGATTCTTATTTGCAGAATCCTACTGAATTCTGACCTAAACTCAGTATTTAAAATATCAATAATAGTCTTATAGAATAGCAACAATTATAAAAAGCAATAAAAGAGGTTCTATTTTAAAAAATGACATATTTCACAATATCTAGGAATAAATCTACAATATATGTTGAAGAACAATATCTAAGGATAAGTCTAACAATATTTGTTGAAGAACTTTAGTCACAAAATTATATAAGATACCAGACATATGCAAAAGTGGCCTGAATAAACAGAGAGCTATTCTATGAACTTGAATGAAAATGTTAAATACCACAGAGGTGTCAATTTCCTGAAAGTCTTGTATCCAACAAGATTATTGGCATTGTGCCCTGGATTCTGCTTCTCTAATAAATTTTGGATGATGCCACTACTATTGGTTCACATAGCAAGACTACAGTGTAGGGATGTATGTGTGTTTGTAGGTGGAGAGAGGAGAGGTGTAAGTTTGGCTGTAGAAAGTATCAGGAGATGGAAGATGGAAAAATGAAAGAAATATACACAAAAGTATGGATAAAGAGCCATAATGTATGTAACTTCCCCTTACATTGTTCTGAAAAACAGTTGTGTGTGTAACAGGAGAGAGAGAGAGAGACAGAGGGAAAGAGGGGGAGGAGAGGGGAAAATGGGAGGGAGAAAGAGAGAGAAGCAAATAGGATAAAATGTTATCAATAAATCAACTTGAATAAACAGTAAAAAAAAATGAGAAAAATGAAGTATTGGGGGAATTCTTGAAGCATTTCAAACCAAGAAATGCTATGAGCAAATTTTTGAGAAACAGCACTGGGCTACCGACAGTGTGAGAGACTGGATAGGGGAGGGATGAGTGAGAAAAGTGGAAGTATTCAGGACACATTTAGCAGAATTTAGGTGAAAGATAATGGCCAGGGTTAAAGCACGGTAGGATAGATTTTAAGCACCATTATGACTCTGTATTCACTTTCATTGAGGTTTTCCTTGTACAAGTTCTTCAGACACAGTTAATGATTTTTGTTCAAGCTTTTATTATAAAGAGAACGAGTTTAGTAGATAAGAGATAGTATTTTTGAATAAAAATTAAACAGCATGACATCTTTGTTACTCTGAGATGTTTTTGTTTTGTGGCTTTTGCTGTTCCATTTTAAAGGCAGGGCCTTGCTTTGTCACTCAGGCTGGAGTACAGTGATGACATCATAGCTCACTGTAACCTTGAACACCTGGGCTCAGAGGATCCCCCAGCCTCAGCCTCCCCAGTAGCTGGGATTACAGATATGAGCCACCACCCTGGCCAAAGGTATGTATTTTCTTCCCAACAACTTTCAACATATGTTCCCTTAGGGTGCTCTCACAACCTGTTTTGCCTGGGACAATCCACATTGTTCACCTCTTGTCCCAATATAACTACTAATACTGTTTTTTAATTCTTAAAAGTGACATATTTGGAGAGTTTGGCCATTCTTCCTTTAATAAAAATATCCATTGTCATGTGCTTTGGTGGATGAAACATTGACTTTTCTCTGGATCAGTTTATTTTAATGGCAGGCACAGTGAGCTTTACACAAAGGAAAGTGTTCCAGAGTCAGCTAAAGTATGTGTGTTGTGGCAGCAGGCTGTGCTTATCCCTCTACTGCAAAAGTAATTAAGAATGCCTATCCAACTCAGCAGTAGCACCTTTACATATGACTAGCAACAGCATTTTGTTAGTTTAAGCAATACTCCTAGGTTTTCAAATTCAGTTGATCATGTAGAAACACATTGACTTTACAGCTCTTGCTGAGTATCTCTCCCTTGTTCACTAAGCTCCAAGTGTACCTTCTTCCTGTCTCTCAAACCCATGAAGCTCACTTTTGCCTCAGGAAAGTTTTTCAGGCTTTTCTTCTGCCTGAAAAACTCTTCTTATATTTTCATCTGCTCTCAGCCTTCTCATTATTTGTCTCAGCTCAAGCATTCACTCCTCAATAGACTTTCCTTAATAACCTTTTCTAACTTACATCCAGGAACTCTTTTCCCATTTCCATGTTTTATTTTCTTTACAGCTGTTTACAATGAATGAAATTCATATTCATTTTTCTTACATTTAATCAAATTGCTTTTTGACATATTTATTGTCACTCTCTCCCATTACAATGTAACTGTCATGACAGTAGGAACCTTGTCATATCTTAACCACCATACAGCCTGTGTGTACTACATTGCCTGATTCAGAGTATGCATTCAATGAACATTAAAACGAATGAATTTATCCCAGCATTACCATTTACAAACAATGTGAATTTAGGTAAGTCATTTAACATTCCTGAGGCTCAATTTTTTAAGTTTGTAAATTGATGATAATAATATTTGGTTGCAATAATTTAAAAATAATATTTCAATTAACACAATTTTCATTTAAGGTAATGTATACTATGTGTTGAGTAAATAGTAGTCATTTTTTATTAGTGCCTATAGGCAAGAGGAACATCCCACTTCCCAACCATTGTGGCATCACAGCTTGAAAATGCAGGATATATAGAATAGATTTACAAAAAATCCTGACTATTATGTATTTCATTTGGATATAATAGCTTTTGCAATTTTAGAGAATGGCCAATCTCATTTTCAGATAGCTGTCTGTATGATATTTTTATGACATTTTGTTATATTAAAGGTAAGAGCATTCAGATGAAAGAATAATCTTTCTGATTACCTTATTGGAATTTCTCAAATTTTCTGCATGTTATTTTTATCTTCTTTTTGAAAAGAGTCAAAAAAATTCTTCCTACATGTAGGCTGACAAAACTTCAATGAGAACCCTCACAAGTCAACCCCCTGTGCAGAAACAGAACCACCTGGAAAGAGAACCTCAAGTCTGGGAACCACAGCTACACAGAATTAGCAAAGACCTATGAAATCTGTCAAAAATGGTTTCCCCAGAAATGGTGATTTGAACTATGTTCTGAAAAATCCTGCATTTTACACTGAAGTGTTGAGATAAAATTTGACTTCCGTGTGGACAGGGGTAAAACTGGTATCCCTGCTTTCTTTTGTGTAGGGGCCTCATATTACTGACCCGTTTATAACAAACTTCCCAATGAACAGTCACCAGGGAGCACGATTTACAAGAAAGTGGATAATTCATTCTTTCAAATCAATCCAAACTGCTTTTATTTTTAAGGAGAAAAATAGAAAAATTTCTGCAGGCTTTATAGAATGGGAATCTAACTTAATGTTGCTTTGAAAGTAGGCCACAGCACTTTAGTTTCTGAGGACTGTTTTTATTATTTTTAGGAATATTATAAAGACTAATAATGCTCATTAAATTCAAGCATTCAGACGCATTTTAATGAGTTGTTTTATTCAAATGTATTCAGAATAGAGAACATTATTTGCTTGGCTAAGACAGGGACAGATGAAGAATGTAAGGCAATAAATAGGAAAGCATTATGAGGTATTTCACAGAAAACACTTATGTAGTATTGTAAGTTATAATACTTAAAATTTTGAATTATATAATGAAGTTTAATGAAACTGAAAGCAACCATTAATACATTATAAATATGTAAAGTATAATGATAATGAAATTCAAAACACGACCAAAATAACCTCAGGAAGTCAAGCTAATGAAAAAGAAATATCCTTTTTATAGTAGCATTTAAATATGTGTAATTTAGGTAAAAAGGAGAATTTAATTGTTTCAGTAAATATAATTAGATGTATCATATATATGCAACTTATGGAAATAGAAATATATAAATGGGTAGTTAATATTCCATGTGATTAATGTAAAAGTGTTAAATCCACAAATTACATACTTATGCTTTTAACCTAATCAACTTTATGTAATTAATTTTTGTGACGAGTATAATAGATTTGGGTGCATTTCATAATTACTACTAATTTCAATATCATTTTACATACTCATTATGCTCTTTTTCACCCTTCAAAGATATTTCATAGTAATTCCTTCTACTCATATGACTTTAAAAGACTAAAATTCATTTTACCTTAAGAAATTAAGTGTCCACAGCGAAAAATAGAGCATCGTCATTTATAGCAGGTAGGGCTGTGTATGGAGCATCACATTGAAAAGGAAGTCAATGTCCCTATGTCCCAGTCTCAGGCTTGCTGTGCCTTCAGTGTATGAAGCCAAGTATGCACCTTCTTTGATTTAAATTTCCTCACCTGAGATAAGGGAATAAATTAGGAGATCCTAAATTCTCCTTTGACTCTCTCAAGGTTCTATTGTAATAGCATCTTAAAATGTGAGTGTACCCCCCAGTTTTATCCATGGAGATGGATTTGCAACGATAAGCTGTAGAGGAAGTTGTGATGCTTCACTGTGTCTTTTAGAATATCAAAGGGTCATTACCACAAACTTCAAAAAGAAAAATATGTAGAACTGAAAGCTTAGGAGCTCAGCCATTCTATAATACTGTTGGAAGAACTGATGTGGATGTAAACTTTTCCTGCCCAAAGTCACATAGCCATGGAAGACAGCATTAGAACTAGAGCCCAGTTCTCTTGACTCAGCAATATAGAAAGAATAAAATATCTTCTGTTCAATCTGTATGTATGAATATCACCATTTTTTGTGGGATCCTTGAGGGAACTGTTTTTAAAAGCAAAAAATAATGTGCATCTACGAGTGAAAGCTAAGAACAACTCTTAAGTGTGCATTTGTCATCTCTTTTCTTGGAATTACTAAATTTTACTTGAAACTATAACAATTATTTAATTATGTAAATGATCCATATGTTTCACAAATGTTTTTACCATATAATCTGTGGTTACATTAAAGCCAAATTTTTTCTTTATTTTTCTGTACTCGATGACAAATATATAACTTATTTTAGAATGTTTATATGGTGATATGAGGAATTTCCTCCCTTCTTCTCTTCCTTCCCTATAAATGTATAGACAATCTCCAACGTGAGAAAATTTTTGCCAGGTACTGAGGATATGGGAATGAACAAAATAGATATGGTTCCTGCCTTTGTGGATTTTACAAGATAGTGTAGAGATAGGTTGCAAAAATTAATATGTAATTATAATTATGGTATTTTATAAATATGTATATGATACTATAAAAATATTGAGAACTAATGTAGATTGGTTTGGAGCAATGAGGAGGACTAGCAATTCATGTTTTGAAAAAAATGATGTTGAAGCTGAACTTGCAAAATGAATGTGTGTGAGGTAAAGCATAAACCTTATAATCAGGGTGTACAAAATACTGGAAAACTTGGATTGGAGAACACCTGTCAGTTTGAATAACTCAATGGAAGGTATGAACTGAGGAATATTGAATGAGAGAATATGGCTAAGATGAAGCTGAAAAACTGGCGCTGAACTATTTTTACTCTGAAATATCATGGTATCATAAAGCTAATTCTTAGACTCTGCTAATTTTCCTGCAGAATATTTCTCTTGTGCCTTGTCAGTAGGTTTCATAACCTGATGTTTCTATGCTCCCAAGAAACATTTCATCAGCCATATTAGTTCAAAAATCTTGTCTCACTTGCATACCTGTTTCCTTGTTTAACCATGGTGATGGCATATGCCTTACATAGAAGATGAACTTCATTTTCCTAGAAACTTGTGACATACAAATCTCTGCCAGGCTCTGAAGATGAAATAGTTTTGAAGAGGTTTGATAAAAGGAAAGAAACAAAAGAATAAAGGAAGAGAGGAAAGAAGGGAGGAAAGCAGGGAGAGAATGAAGGAAGGAAAGAAACAAGGAAGGAAATTACCTTGAATATTAGTGGCCATTTTAAGACTTTCTGGTATATTCATTAAGCTGGAGCAAAAAAAAGTTCATCACTCACTGTCATGAAGCATTCCAACTACTGATTGATTCAAATAATTCATGTGTTCTTTTACTGAGCAGATATTGAATCTCTACTATAAATAAAGAGCTCCATTTTATGAATGGAAAACAAGAATGTGTAGAGAGTCACAAATGTAGCAACCAGATTTTCGGTTGCCATACCATAAATACACTGGCAGAAGAGCAGTTGTCCCAGAAGACAAACAATTGAGTATAAGATAAATTATCCATGTGATTATTTAACTTTGATATTTCACTGACAACCTGTCATCTCCTACCTCCCAAAGTACTCTTCCAGATGATTCAACAGTTTAATTGGATGGTATTAGTTTAAAAAAAAAAAAACTATTTTCTTTTCCTCCTACAACATAAGGGACAGGGAGATCCACAGCATGACACATTGCTTCTACTGATTCTTTTTACACGGGTTACTTGGCCTTTTTTATTTCACCATATGTCCAAGAACCTGGCATACTTTGGAGGTGCTTAATTCTTAGGACACCTTAGGAATTGAGCTATTATTTTCTTGTTAAGAGGTCATTAAACCTGAGAATACGTGCATATAGAGCATATAGACAGGTAAGATCTCACAATAAATTGACAGAAGAATAAATAGTCTCTTGACTCCTATTGCAATATCCTTTTTATTAGAGAATACAACATGCCAAATTGGATAATCTGCAGGGAAGATAGTGATGATTAAAAAGATACTGTTTATGGCCTGACTTTCACCTTATCATCAAAACCATTCATCACCTTTATATTCCAATTAGCCTGTGACTTCCATCCATTAAGTCCTAACCATTAAATAAAATACAGAATTATACCACACAATAATAGAAAAATAGCAATTTGTAGTTAAAAATAAACAAGAAAAGTTTGCATGTCTTTGTTTTCTATTATATTTTATTCTATATTAAAATTCTTTTGCAAAAAATGTGAAAGATAGACACAACAAATGCCTCTATCTTTAGAAAAGGTAATATGGAACAATGAAATAACTCTACAAAAAATGAATTTAATGACCTACAAATATACTCTAAATTTACTGCAATTGTGGAAAGACTTGGAAGGATAAAGAAAACAGTATAGTCAGAGTGCATAGAAATTCCTAGAGGAACTTTCTTATGTATAGCTAAATGTGCATTACTTGTGTTATGTGGAATTACATTATGAGTTTCACCCATTCAACTGGGTTGCTTCTTCTACCTTTAGTGTCATTCATTGTGCATCCAAAAAGATACAATATAATGGACAATGTGATATAGGTTTATTTATTGAATCTGATGTGTTTCATGTTTTATTTTAACTACCAAAGCCAATTTCTTAAGAACTATGAAAGAATTCCCCTAATGTGATCATTGTATACATAATGACAATTAAAAATACATTTATCAGACAGTTGTTCAGATTCACTAACAGCTCCACACTAATTGTTGCTAAAGTCACTGCCTGCAAAGAACAAAAGGAACTTGTGAATTATCTCTAGCCTTTTTGTTAAACAATGGAGAATTTTTCTTTTCTATTTTGAATCTAAGAAGATCAGTACATAATTAATTTGCATTAATGATTTCTTTTTTCAGAATAAGAAAAATGAATAATTTTTATTCAATTTGTAGAAAATTGGCTTCATAAGCAAATTATTAGAAAGAAACACAAAGTAATGCAAATAGTCTGAAGAAATACTTTTAAAAGTCAAAATGGAGAATGTATCTCTTTAAAAAGGTTCTGGAAGAAGCTGAAAGGTAAAGAGTGCAGTATTTAAACATCACTGTTATATGTTTACTAGACAAGTATTCAGAAAAATGAAAATAGTTAATTGTATATGGTAGCACATTTTTAGATTTTAAAAATTATTTAAAAGTACCTTCATAATAAACATCTACAAGGAAGATTGCTTTATATAGTCCTGCCCTTAGATAACTTGGAATGTCTGGTACTGTCTCAAAGAATGAAGCTGTAATCACATTCCTGGGCATTTGTGATATCCGTGGATGGGGAAAGATCTTTTATGAAGTGGTAGTCTGTGAAATGTGTACCTTTACTCTAAGCAGACAATTCAAACTGATCCTGGAGATGTGTTTATGAGGCAAACTTACAAGAGTCATTAAAGATGCATACTGTGGCCAAGGAAATTATCTGTGGCTTTCTTCTAAGAGCACACTGAAGAACAGTAAACATACTAAAAAAAGAAATTCCACCTGTATTGTTTTAGCATTGGTATCTAACACCAGGGTATTTTGCTACATGTTTAATCTCCAAGGAGTGGTGAAATACTTCAAAAAGGCTTTCCTAATTGGTGGCTTTGGTCTCTAAATTTCTTTTAGCTCCTTTGAAATGCAGTTTTAGGTGTGTTTGCGTGCATTATCTACAGATATTTACTTTGGCATACTGCAAAAAAGTCTCCATGGGAGAGTATCTCCTTCATCTTGCTCGTGTGCGATAATATTGAGGGCTTTGAAAGAGGTTGACTCTCATAGAAGATCCTATTAGACTATTTAAACTTTTATAGGACACTCATACTATGAGGTGACATCAGCTTGTTTTCTAAAAGCTACCGGTACTTTAGAGAGTTTCAAGATCCTTTATTTTCAAAGTTAAATACAAAAATCCTACAAATATTGTTGATAGTAATGATGTTTCTTTATTAAAAACTGATTTGGTGGAGTGGTTCTTAAGTTCTTAACACGAATATTGTACATGAAATTATTTAGTAATTGTGCAAACCATAAAATAATTAGAGTTAATTTTATATGTATGTCTATTTCAATAATACCAAGAATATATTTCATAGAAAATATATGTCTAGTAGGAATTTATAACTAAATAGAATAAGCTAAGGCTTTCAAAAACTGTTATTTTATGTGTCCTTTCATCACTTTGCTGTGTTAGTAACTATCAATGCAGTGTCACCCAAGGAGGGGGTGAAGCAAGATGGCTGAATAGAACCCTCCAATGATCATCCCCACTACAGGAACCCCAAATTGAAGAACTATCCACACAAAAAAAAGCACCTTCAGAAGAACCAAAACTCAGGTGCGCAATCACAATACCTGGTTTTAACATCCTATCAAGGAAAGAGGCACAGACGAGGATAGGAAAGACAGTCTTGAATTGCTGACAACGCCTCTCCCCCAGCTCCTCAGCAGTGACCATGTGGCACAGAGGGAATCTGTACCCTTGGCAGAGAACAAGTGCAGTGATTGCAGGCTTTTGCATTGGAACTCAGTATTGCCCTGTCATAGCAGACAGCAAGATGGGGGAGAATTCAGATGGCACCCACAGAGGAAGCATTTAGATCAGTCCTAACCACAGAGGAATCTTCCATCACAGACGTCAGAACCTGAGTTACAACTAGCCCCATCACGATGGGCTAAATCAGTCTATGGTCCTAAATAAACTTGAAAGATGGTCTAGGCCACAAGGAATGGAATTCCTGGGCAAAGTCCTGGTGCTGTGATGAACTTAGAATGAGTGGACTTGGGGCGCTTGTGGCCTAGTGAGAAACCAGCTGAGTCATCCAAGAGAGTGCTTGCATCACCCCTCCTGCAACTCCAGGTAGTGCAGCTCACAGTTCCAGGAGAGAGACTCCTTCTTTCTGCTCCAGGAGAAAAAAAGAGAGTAAAGAGGACTTTGTCTTGCAACTCAGATACTCACTCAGCCACGGTAGGATAGGGCACCAGGCAGAGTCCTGAGTCCCCCCCATTCCAGACCCTAACTCCTTGATGACATTTCGAGATACACTTTAGTCCAGAAGGGAACCCACTGCCTTGGAGGGAAAGACCTAGTCCTGCAGGATTCACCACCTGCTGATTAAAGAGCCCTTGAATAAGCATCAGTGGTACCCAGGCAGTACTTGCTGTGGGCCTGGGTGAGACCCATGGTTGTGCTGGCTTCAGGTAGGACCCAGTGCATTCCCAGCTATGGTGGCCATAGGGAGAGACTACTTCTGCATGAGGAAAGGATAGAAAAGAGTGGAAAGAACTTTGTCTTGGGGTTTGGGTGCCAGCTCAGTCACAGTAGAATAGAGCAACAGTCAGACTCTTACAGTTCCCAACTCCAGGCTCCTAGATGGCATTTCTGATCCCATCCTTGGCCAGGAGGGGAAACTCACCACCCTGAAGGGAAAGACACATGCCTGGCTGGATTTGCCACCTGCTGACTGAAGAGACCTTGGGCCATGAGTGAATAGCAGCAGTAGCCAGTGAACATCACAGGTCTTGGGCAAGACTCAGTGCTGTGTTGATTTTGGGTCTGACCCACCACAGTCCCAGTGGTGGCAGCCATAGGGGTGCTTTTGTCACTTCTCTCACAGCTCAGCATGGAGAAACAGACTCCGTTTGTTTGGGGGAGAGTAAAGAAAGAGAACAATAGTCTCTGCCTAGTAATCTAAGGAATTCTTCCAGATCTTACTTGAGAACACCACGGCTATATGTCTACAATTCTGCAAGAGTCACAGTGTTACTGGGTTTGGGGTGCTGCCTAATGGCAGACGTTGCTGCAGCGACCAAAGATTTAGATTACAACTCTCAATTTACTTTGAATACTTGGAAAGCCTTCCCAAGAAGGATGGGTACAAACAAGTCCAGACTCTGAAGCCTACAGTGAATACTTAACTCTTCAATGCCCAGACATTGATAAACATCCACAAACATCAAGACCATCCAGGAAAACATGACCTCACCAAACAAACTAAATAAGGCAACAAATCCTAGATTGACAGAGATATGTGACCTTTTGACACAGAATTCAAAATATTTGTTTTGAGAAAGCTCAACAAAATTCAAGATAACACAGAGAAGGAATTCAGAATCCCATCAGATAAATTTAACAAAGAAATAATTTTTTTAATCGAGCAGAAATTCTGGATCTGGAAAATTCAATCAACACACTGAAGAATTCATTAGTCTCTCAACAGCAGAACTGATTAAGCAGAAGAAACAGCAGAACTGATTAAGCAGAAGAAACAATTAGTAAGCTTGTAGACAAACTATTTGGTTAGAGGAGACAGAAAAAAACAATAAAAAAGAATAAATCATTCCTGCAGGACCTAGAAAACAGCCTCAAAAGAGAAAATCTAAGTTATTGACCTTAAAAAGGAGATAGAGAGAAAGATCAGAAGAGAACATTTATTCAAAGAGATAATAATAGAGAACTTTCCAAACACAGAGAAAAATAACAATATTGAAGTAGAGAGAGTTATAGAATACCAAGCAGATTTAACCCAAATAAGACTACATTAAGACATTCAGGCTGAATGAAATAAATAAAATTGAAACTAAAAACAATACAAAAAAATCAATGAAATGAAAAGTTGATTTTTTGAAAAAAATAAACAAAATCAACAAATCTGTAGCCAGACTAAGAAAAGAGACAAGACACAAATAAGTAAAATCAGATATGAAAAAGGAGATATTATAATGGATACTCCAGAAACTCAAAGGATCATTAGAGACTACTATGAACAACTGTATGCAAATAAATTGGAAAACCTAACAGAAATGGATAAAGTCCTAGACACATACAACCTACCAAGATTGAACCATAAAAAAAATAGAAAACCCAGATAGACCAACATCAAGTAATGAGTACTTAAAAGTACTTAAGTACAAAACCGTACTTAAAAGTCTCTCAGCTAAGAAAAGCCCAGGACCCAATAACTTCACCGATGAATTCTACCAAACATTTTTAAAAAGGAGCTAATACCAGACCTACTGAAACCCTTCCAAAAAATTAACAGAGTAGGGAATACTTCCAAACTTATTCTATGATGCCAGTATTATTCTGATACCAAAATCAGACAAAGACACACAAAAAAAGAAAACTGCAGGCCAATATAACTGACGAACATTGATGCAAAAAATTTTCAACAAAACACTAGCAAACAAAATTCAATAACCATTAAAAAGATAATAATTCATCATAACCAAGTGGTTTTATTCCAGGGATGCAAGGATGGTCCAATATACTCAAATCAATTTGATATATCATCTCAACAGAATAAAGGACAAAAACCATATGATCATTTCAATTAATGCTGAATAAGCATTTGATAAAATTCAACATCTCTTCATGAAGAAAAGCGCCCTAAAAACTGTGTACAGAAGAAATATGTTATCAGACTGAATGGAAAAAAACTTAAAAACTTTCTTCTGACACCTGGAAAAAGACAAGGTTGCCCATTTTCTCCACTGGTAATCAACATAGTATTTGAAGTCCTAGCTAGAGCAATCAGATGAGAGAAAGAAATAAAGGACATCTAATTTAGAAAGGAAGAAGCCAAATTATTCTTGTTTGCAGTCAATATGATCTGATATTCAGAAAACCTCCTCCAGAAAACTATTAGAACTGATAAACAAATTCAGCAAAGCTGCAGGATACAAAATCAACATTCAAAAATCAGTAGCATTTCTATATGACAACAGTGAACAATGCAAGAAAGAAATCAACAAAGTTATACAGTTTGCAATAGCTACAAATAAACACAAATATCTAAGAATTAACCAGAGAAGTGAGTCTTGACAATAAAAATTAAAACATTGATGCAGGAAATTGAAGAGGGCACAAAATATGAAAATACATTCCAAGTTTAGGATTGGAATTATCAATATTATTAAAAATGTTCATACTATCCAAAGCAAGCTACAGATTCAATGCAATCCCTATGAAAGTACCAATGACATTCATCACAGAAATAGAAAAAATAATCCTAAAATGTACATGGACCACAAAAGAGCAAGAATAGTTAAAGTCATCTTAAGCAAAAAGAACAGAACTAGAGAAATCACATTATCTGATTTCAAATTATATTATAGAGCTATAGTAGCCAAAACGTGACGGATACTGGCATAAAAACAGACACATATACCAATGGTACAGAATAAAGAAACCAGAAATAAATCCATACACTTAAGTAAACTCATTTTTGACAAAAGTGCCAAAAACATATATTGGAGAAAGGACAGTCTCTTCAATAAATGGTGCTGGGAAAACTGGATATCCATATGCAAAAGAATGAAACTGGATCCCTGTCTCTCACCACATTCAAAAAATAAAATCAAAATGAATTAAAGACTTACATCTAAGACCTCAAACTGTGAAACTACTAAAGGAAAACACTGGAGAAAGTCTCTAGGAGATTGTACTGAAGAAAAATTTCTTGATTAGTGTTCTAGAAGCACAGGCAATGAAAGCAAAAATGGACACACGGGATCATATCAAGTTTAAAAGCTTCTACACAGCAAAAGAAACAATCAAATAAATGAAGAGACAATGCATAGAACAGAAAAAAATGTATTTGCAAACTATCCATCTGACAATGGGTTAATAACCACAATATACAAGGAGGTCATACATCTCTATAGGAAAAAATCTAATAATCCCACTAAAAATGGGCAAAAGATCTGAGTAGATTCAGAAGAAGACATATAAATGGCAAACAAAAATATGAAAAAGTGCTCAACATCACTGATCATCAGAAAAATGCAAATCAAAACTGCAAGGAGATATTATCTTACCTCAGCTAAAATGGCTTTTATTCAAAAGACAGGCAACAATAAATGCTGGCAAGCATGTGGAGAAAAGGAAACCCTCATACATTATTGGTGGGAATGTAAATAAATAACAGCCACCATGAAGAACAGTATGGAGGTACCTCAAAAAACTATAAATTTAGCTACCATATGATCCAGCAATCCCACTGCTAGGTATATATTCACAAGAAAGGAAATCAATATACCAAAGAGATATATGCACTCCCATGTTTATTGCAGCACTGTTCACAATAGCCAAGATTTGGAAGCAACCTAAGTGTCCATCCACACATGAATGGATAATGAAAATGTGGTACATTTACACAGTGGACTACTATTCACCCATAAAAAAAAATAAGATTCTGTCAATTGCAACAATATGGATGGAACTGGAGGACATAATGTTAAGTGAAATAAGCCAGGCATAGTCAAGACACATTTTGCATGTTCTCATTTATCTGTAGGAGCTAAAAATTAAAACAATAAAACTCATGAAGATAGAGAGTAGAATAATGGTTACTAGAGGCTGAGAAAGGAAGCTGAGGATGGGAAGAGTGGGGTTGATTAACATTTATAAATATATAGTTAGATAGAATGAATAAGATCTGGTATTTAATAGCAAAACAGAGTGACTACAACCAACAATAATTTATTGTATATTTCTAAATAACAGAAAGTATAATGGAAATTTTTAACACAAAGAAATAAATGCTTGAAGTGATGGATACTCCATTTACCTTGATGCGATTGTTATGCACTGCATAACTGTATCAAAATATCTCATGTACCTCATAAATATATATATACTTACTACATATCCATAAGTTTTTTTAAAGTTTCAACAAATAAAATTCAATTAAAGTTAAAATAGTAAAAAATAATAAATTATAAGCCCCCAATAAATTGAGTAAAGAAAAAGAAATTATTATCCAAATTACATACCTATGAAGAGGGGCTTCCAAAATTAAAAACAAATGCACAAATCCATTTTAAAATAGGAGAGGATTGGCCTCTGTGAGGTTTTGTCATCAATTGTGTTGGGAATTGGTCCAAATTCCGTCTTCGTGCATGAACAGTTCATATTCAGATGGATGGGGCTGCCCCTTAGAATTCTAGGCCATAATTTATCCCACTACCTACAGGCAATACTGTTTATAAAAGCAGTCCTGTAGAAGGGCTGTTTCTTATATTTCAGAGAAGTAAACATTGGCGTAATTTTAAAATCACAGCCGCAGAGGTTCACAGACTGAAACTGTAAACACAAGTTTGCAGCACTGACATTGATCCTTAAAGATTCAAAATCTTCCAAGCTTCCATACATGGTAAAAAATTGTGTTGGAATGTGGAGAAAAATAGCTGTTAAAAGATTTTTTAAATAAATTGCTTGTTTTTTCAAATGAGCGATTACTTTTCTCACGTGACCATTCCACTTGTATTTTGAAATATTGCAAAAATCTTGATTTTTTAGTTTATCTTCAGAGAATTATAGTAATTGAAATTCTTAAAAGTTACATAAACTATCCTACTATTAATAAAATAATAACATTAGCTATTATTTATATAGTGTTCATTATGTTCTAGACAACTCTAAGAGATTTTACTTATATTAGTTTGTTAAATACCGGCCAGTTGTTCAGTAAAAAAGCTATGGGATGCAGATACAAAATATAAAGCATCTACATGAATGAATTGGCTGTGGACCCAAATTTCAGAATGGTTCTAATTGTTTCCTTGGGCTGTTAAAAAGTGTGTAAATGAATGGTGACCAGATAGCCTGCATTGTCTAGTATAGCACTAAATTAATATGTCCTTTCTCATGTTTAAGACTGTGGGATATTCCAGGCTTACAACACATGTTCAGCTATCTACATTTTAAAGAAGATTCCAAGAACTGAGGACAGAAAAGTAGAGGTGACTATTTTGAGATAAAAATGAAATCTGACTTCTTATTGGATAACTCCAAGTTAAAATGTCTCAGGATCCACTGGATCAAGAGTTAGAAAAAAATTCATGGAGGAGTCCTCTAAAATTTCAAAAGCCACTAAAAATACAAGAACAGCTGGAGACTCTCCTATAAAATGTGGAGGTATCTTCGGTAGATGCTATTTACTGAGGCTATTATCACTGTGGACTGACTTTAAATACAATGTATAAAAATCAACTATTTTTATGACAGAAAAAAATGAGTACAGTAAAAATAAAATTGAAACATTACAAAAAGGTATGAATTGATGTCTCACTTTCAACTGTGATCACCTGTCTCTCAGGGACAAACATATTTGTTTTTGTAACATCCTAGGTATTCTATGCATACAGAAATTATGACGATTCATTCATTTTACAAAAATGAAAAATGGGGAACATAAATGGTTTAAAATAGCAGAATACTACACATACTATATTTGGAAGATTATTCCAAATAGTATGTATTTATTTTAATGGTTGCATAATATTCCATTGTATAAATGTAACATAATTTATCAAACCAATGTCCTTTCATCAGACGTATGTTTGGTTCTAGTCTTCTGATATTATAAACTATACTGCCATGGGTCACCATGTAAACATTTGTTCAAATATCTTAGAAGTAGAAATGCAAAGTTAAGTGTAAATATAGTCTTAATATTAATACACATTGCCCAATTTCCTTTTGGAGAATTTGTAACAGTTTGAATGCTTATAAGAAATGTATGAGTGTTTATTCACTCAGTCAGAGACCAACACAAAGTGTTATCAAACTGATCTTTGCAAAACTAACAGATGAAAAATGAGCTCTAGTATTTTTAATTTGTATTTATTTCATCTTGAATGCCATTGAGTACTTTGTCTTAAATTTAAAGGATATTATTTTTAAAAAATTTTGACTTCTCTAATCATATTCTTTGCAAATATTGTTTCCTCTACCATAGTTTGTATTTTGGTAATTAATTTTTTGACAGGAAGAAAACTTCACACTTTGTATAGTTAAATTCATTAATCTCCTATTTTGGGCAAAATTTGGGTATGATAATATAGATGCACTAACTCATTCCAATGAGTTTTTGATTAATTAACAAACTTACAACGGATTTTACTTATTTTTTCTTGAGAAAGAGTTATTCTTAAAATTTTGGCTCAAGATCAGTTTGCCATTGAAAATGAAATAATGAAATTATTTTCTCCTTTTTACCATATTGAGCAAGCATTCCTATCCATATTTTGTTACAGGAGACAAATATTTGGAAACATTAATGATTTTGCAAAATAACATATGTAATGCATCCATGCAAATATTCTGATTTTAAATGTACTATGCTTCCTACTATATTGCTCTCCTCTCTACCCTAATCAATTTTTAAAAATATATTTTTATCTAAAATTAACAAATGTCATGAAAATGGTTCAGGATGTCCTTTTAATACCAATTATCTTATAATGATTCTAGGATATATTTATCAAGACTCAGTATATGAATAGGACTAAAAAAACTGCAGCTAAGCTCACCTTGGGAAAGTCAGAAACCAACCTATAAGTATGGATGATTAATTAAAATATATTATTTAGGATTTGAGGTAGGGATATATGCAATCAAAGTCGAGTTACAGTTGCCAAATAAAATAGATGAATGAAAATATAGTTTGACACTCTTGGAATAAGTTCCCAAGAATATAAGGTGCTATTTATCACCATTTAAATTGATTTACATTCACATTTAATACCCAATTAAGGCTGATATCCTTTTTATTGTAGATTTTAATTATTGAAGCCCTATAAGGCAGTTAGGTATATTAATTCCTCCCAAAGCAATTGTTACTGTTTTTAAGCAAGAGCTCTTCTACACCTTTCCTGTTAAGATATTTCTTCTCCTTTTTGATATCTATGCCAACTGTGATTTCAGCTGAAGCACAGAAACACTGATGCTTTGGAAATTATAAATGCACCTTTCACTTCTCAGTATCATGTCTCCATTAGTGATACTTCTATGCACACCAACCCTAAATATTTCACAATATGTCCCCCTTTTAGGATCATGCCATGTTCATACTCAGTTTTAGAACTTGACTTCAGGGGTGTTTTTTTGTTTGTTTGTTTGGGGTTCTTACAAAAATAAGAAATCTAACAAAATGATGTCTAAGTCACTTCCAGATTTAAGTTCTATAATCCTGTGATGCATCAATAAAAAAACCTAGAACGTAGGTATGTTTGAGAAAGTAATTGGACTTCAACACAAAAATCATCTCAGATTTTTACTAAGAGACATGCATGCTTTTTAAGTTATCTCTATTAGATAGATTGATTTTACTATGAGTATTTTATAGCTTTGAAAATTTCTCATCCCTTAGGAAATAATGCCACTTGACTATAACCCACATACAATATTGGAAATGCAGTTTTTTGAAGGATGATCGGGTTGTTTCTCAGCATTTCCAACTGCATCTGCCCTGTCATCAGTTTACACGTTCACACTTACCCTGTTCCTCATTTATGACCGCTATTTCTTTTTCCCCTACTTGCTAAATGTAATGTCAAATTATCACTAGAATTCAATCTTCTAAAAGAATGTAAATATTTCCCCTTGAAAGATCAATAAAATTGTTCTGCAAACATAATGAAAATCATTAAAAACATACCACTGATACCCAAACACATTATACACTAACTTTACTCTCCATTGACTCTATTAAATAAGTGCATTTGATCTCACAACATTTTTGCTTAATCTAATATCCTTTACAAATAACTAGCATTGAGTGTTATACATGTAAAAATCAAGGACTAAGTTGTGTTGGATTCTATAAATACTTAGAGTCCTGAATGGCTTGTGTATTTAACAATACATATGAAGATTGCTCTGATTTAAGAAGTAATGTGACTCAATTGTGCATGATAAAAATTGTGAGCAAAAAATAAACAAATTATTTTTTGTACTTCAGTTACTCCATATGAGCATAGGAATTCACCTCACAGGGAGCGATGTTAAGCTCTTCAATTACAAAACACATAAAAAGCACAAAGAACTTTCTTATTTTGAGCATAATAAAACCAGGGTTATAATTAAACATTATTACATATATACAAAATACAGAGAAGGGTATGTATCCAAATGTATAGTATCATGAGGCTATTTTTTTAAAGCCTGTCATAAAATTTACATATCCATTTTTATTTTGTCCCCTCACTACCTCCCTGATTACATTCGAAAGGTGAGTGATGAATTAATCTAGTCGACTTTTCTGTTCTTGGCTCACTATCATTATTGGTCTAAGCAAAGTTCCCTCTTGATCAAACTATTTTCTAGTCCCATTATTTTCTCTCTTATTCTACAGGTTACTATTCTAATATATTTATGCATATGCATTCTTTTGTGCCTCTGGGAAATATTTAGTGGTGGTGTGCATAGAAGTATCTTAAATTTGCATAAATAATATTGTGTTAAGTTGCTGATTCTTACTTTCTCCACTTACCAGTGCTTGTAAGGTCTCCCTGTTTTGCTACATCTGCATCCTGTCAGTTGCTTTTCATCCTCTCAGAAACAGACACCTGCACTATGCTTAACAGTACAACATCACACACAGACACAGAAAGCTGTAATGGGCATTCCCATTCTTGTTCTCCTATTTACCTGTCTTAAAATCCTCAGCAACACATAAAACATTAAAAAATTATGTATAAATAATGAGAAAAATACTTGAAAAAATATATGTCAGTAAAGGACAAACTAATATTCCAGATACATGCACAAAACAATATAAAAGATTAGTAGTCTGTTAATTCCATCTGCTTCCTATGTAAAAGGGAAAATGTAAGATAGTTTCTGTTGGTGTCAGAATCCATAAAAAGAAATTCCTATGAGTATTTCAGAATAAATGTATAGGAATAAATTTTAAGAAAGAACTCTGTAAAACCAGTATGTTGAAACTTATAAAAATATGCTGAAGAACATAAAAGATGATGAATAAATGGAGTGTCACAATATGTGTCTAGATTGAAGGAGTCAGTATTTTGATGATGTCAATTTCTCTCAAATTATTCTATAAAACCATCGAAGCGAATACAAAATGTTAACAAAATATATCATGGAATTTTCATGATTAATTCTAAAGTAAACATTGAAGGAAAAATATCTAATAATAGTCAAGAACTTATGAAAAATGAAAAATAAATGGAATGAGTTATTTTACCAGAAATCAAATATATAGCAGAAATGTAAAGCTAGAACAATTAAAACAATAATATATTGGGGGGGAAATGCACAAATATCTATGTATCAAAATAGAAAATTTAGAAACATACTAATGTATATGTGAAAATTTAGTATGATGTAGATGTACACAGTACTTCAAATCAATGGGGTAAAAAGAAACCTAGGAAAACTTAATATCCATTTAGAAATAAACCCCTATTTTATTTAATCCTTATCTTTCATTATTTGCAAAGATACCCCCAAATGGTTTAAAGATGTATATTTAAATCATGAATTTAGTAGAATAACCTACAGACTACCAGTTAATTATCTTGAGATGGTGAGAGTTTAATCTGATTAAAATGAGGAATCCAGAAGCCAAAATATAGTTGGATATGAAAAAATGCTCAACATTACTAATCATCAGAGAAATGCAAATTAAAATCACAGTGAGATTTTACCTCCCACCTGTTAGAATTGTTATCATCAGAAAGACAAAAGATGAGTGTTGGTAAAGATGTGGAAGGAAGGGAACACTTGCACACTGTTGATGGGAATGTAAATTAGTACAGCCATTATGAAAAATATGGAGATTTCTCAAAAAATTATAGAGGCCAGGTACAGTGGCTCACACCTGTAATCCCAACAATTTGGGAGACTGAGGTGGGCAGATTTCTTGAGCCCAGGACGTCGAGACCATCCTGGGCAACATGGTGAAACCCCAGCTCTACAAAAAATACAAAAATTAGCTAGGCATGGCAGCCTGTGCTTGTAGTCTCAGCTACTTGGGAGGCTGAAGTGGGAGGATCACCTGAGCTTAGGAAGTTGAAGCTATGGTGAGCCGTCATGGTGCCACTACCCTCCAGCCTGGGTGACAAACTGATACCTTATCTCAAAAATAAATAAATAAGTAAAACAAAAATAGAACTATCATACAATACAGGAATCCTAGTACTAAGTCTATATTCAAATAAAATGAAACCAGTATGTGAAAGAGATATTTGCACTACCATGTTCATTGCAATGCACTACAATGTCAATGCCATCATATATAATAAAACAACCTAAGCATCCATCGGTTGATGAATGGATATATAAAATGTGTTTATATATATACCGTGGAACGCTATTTAGCCAAAAGGGAAGGAAAATATGATCATTTGTGACAACATAGATGAGCCTAGGGGACATTAAGTTAAGTTAAATAAGCCAGGCACAGAAAGAAAAATACCAAATGATCTCACTTATATGTGGAACTTAAAAAAAAATTGATTTAGTAGAAGTAGAGAATAGAATACTGGTTACCAGGGGCTGGGAAAATGTTAGTCAAAGGACAGAAAATTTCCATCGGATAGGAAGAATAAGTTTAATAGATCTATTGTGCAACCTGATGACTGCAGTTAATAACAACATATTGTATTCTTGAAAAATACTGAGAGTGAATATTGTGTTTGCACCACAAAAAGTGATCACTGTATATAGTACTGCCTATGTCAATTAGCTGGATTTAGTCATTCCACAATGTGTAGATACTTCAAAATATCATATTATATATAATAATTATATACAATTTTATCTGTCAATTTAAAAACATTAAAACAAAAAATATAAAATATAATAGTTTGAAATAGATACCTACAAATTAACTGTAAATATTTTACAAGGGAAACGGATGGCATACATTAAAGAGAGAGAAAAAGAAAAAGACGGAGAGGAAAAAACAGGAATAAATATCTGTCACAGATAAAACAAAGGCTTGTTATCCATTATAAATATCATAAATCTATCATAGATATCACAAATTAATTAAAAAACCCTAATTTTTTAAATGTATAAATATATAAGCAGGCAATATAAGCAGGAAGAATGATTTTAAAATTACAGAAAATATGTAAGTACATCCTTAACTTCACTGGTAATCAAATAATTATAAATGTATTTATTGGTCATCAGCTTTCCAAAGAAAAAAAATTTAGAAATTGCTAATACTGAGAGTTGTGAAGGTGTGGGAAATGAGTATCTAGATCTGTTTCAGAATGCAACTTATCAAAATGTATTGTGTGCAATTACTACTTTTTTTGGAGATGGGGGTTACACTATGTTGATCAGGCTGGTCTTGGACTCCTGGTCTCAAGTGATCCTCCTACCTCAGCATCTCAAAGTGCTAGGATTGTAGGCATGAGCCACTGCACCCATAAAAGGATTTTTAATTTTTTTTTTTGAAACAGAGTCTTGCTCTGTAGCCCAGGCTGGAGTCCAGTGGTGTGAGCATGCCACGATGCCTGGGGATAATATTTTTTTTTAATTTTGTGGACAGGAATCTTGCTATGCTCCTCAGGCTACTCTCAATCTCAGTGCCTCAAGCATTCCTCCTGCGATGGCCTCCCCAAGTACTAGGATTACAAGCATGAGCCATCTTGTCTGGCCCTCCAATCACTTTTGATTGCAGAAACTTCACTGGCATTTAGAGTTATACATAATCACAGATATATGCATGTGTACATATGCGCATGGATGTTCTTTACAGCACTGTTTGTAATATTGGGAAAAAGTGGAAATAATCTATATTGCCATCGTTAATAAAAAGGTTAAGAAATCATATGATTCTATGGTATAAACTACTATGGAGCTTTTCTTCCTTACATGAAATAGTATTCTATGTACACAATGAAATTATCTTTAAGACATTTTGAAAAGTATAATGAAGCTAGCTGAATAACATGCATAGTGTAGGATTTCATTTATGTAAAATGGCACACAACATGCACCTGTGTGTATGCACATGTGTATTTGAACATATAGAAACATCTGTAGAAGTAAATCTACCCCATTTGATAATGATTATCTGAAAGAAAAGAGTGAGATTAAAGGCAATAAGGTAGAAGTGAGGAGACTTTTACTATTCTACGGATTCTTTTGAAATTTTTTAAACTTCAAACATTACTACATTTAATTTAATTATTAAAGGACAATTTAAAAGTGAGAGCTAAATACAGTAACTACCGTTATTGGCATTCAAAGATATGTTTTAATAAAAGATGAAACAAATGTTTTGAACAATGGGTAGAGCAGGTAAGATCAATCTCTCTGTAACAAATACAAGCGTTTATCGTTTTGTTGGAGTCAGAGCCAAATCTCAAATCTGACATTTTAGTTATTTCTTTAATTTGAATGTCTTGACTGCAGTAAAAGCTGCCTAGTTGTTTCTAGGAGGGATGAGGAAAACTCAGAGACACTCCCTTTCCATGTGCCTTAGAGCCCGGAGCCACAGGGAGGACACCCCCGGGCAGCTAGGGGTTTGAGAGCTTTTGTGTGCAGCTGCAAGAACTTATGCCCACAATTTCACTGTGTTCAGTCTGAAAGAACAGAGAGAGTCATCAAATCGCCTGAATAGAGGGAACATTTTCTATTGAACCATCTACTGGGCTAAATTAATTGAGCAATGGAACATGACAGTTCAATAGGTGAGATTATCAAAAGAAAACTGCCCCCCTAGGGCAGGAGCCTCAGATGGGTGCCTGAGCTTTTCCGAGAAAAGTGATTGCTTCATGATAAAAATATAATTGCCCCCTATTGTTACATTGCCCTTTAATGAATCCCATCCAGCACCTAAATATGACAAATAGGAAGGGATAGTGTGCAAGAGGGTTGACAGTTACATCTGATGTTAAACCATATCAGGCTACGTGGCTTTGAAAAGTTGCCGGCCTTTGTCTTGTTAAATCAAAGAATCTTGTCTTGGGTGCTTCAGCTGGACTTTCAATGTAAAACTTGAAAAATGTTACATCTTATTTTAAATGACCCAAATAAGTTAATCTCAGAAAAAAAAAAGGCTTTTTTTTTGTGAGAAAAACATAAAATAATAAGTGAAAGGAGCTTTGTAATTTATTTAATTATTCCTTTATTAGTTGGCCAAAAAAATGTGAGTGAAGGATTAGTTATAATGACAGCATCCATCATTTAAGGGAATCAATGTTCTTATTTGGTGCACAAAATATCTTAATGTTCAATGTTTAAACAGCTTAACTCTAATTAGCTAGGATGCTTCCAGCTAGAAGGAATTGAACACTTAGCTCAAACTGGCTTAAACAACAATGGCATTTATTTGTTCACATGTCTGAAAGTCCAGGGGTAGGGCAAGCTTCAGGATTGATTTAATCTTATGTTTCCAGTGCTGTTTCATTGTGATTCTCTAGACCAACACCATCCAATAGATCTTTCTCTAATAATAGAAATGTTCTTTTTCAACACTATCCAATGTTAACCATTAGCCACATGTGGCACTGGAAAAGTGCAAGTGACTTTTAGAAACTAATTTTTTATATTATTTAATTCTCAGTAAGTTAAGTTTAAATTTAATAACCACTTAGGGCTAGTACCTTCTGTATTAGACAGTGCAACACTACACTGTTTCCCCCTTACATACTGTGTGACAGCATCACTCACAGGTTTATAATGTGTTGGCAGCAACCAATCAAACATGAAATCATTCAGATCAAAACAAAAAATAGCTATGAAAGTTCACCCAGAAGAGCAAATTCCTTCTTTTCACACTGCATTGGCCAAAACTAGATCATAAGCCTATTTCTGAACTGATTACTTGCAAAAAGATGATATAATCATTAGTCCTCTTGTGCCCATTCCTGTAATAGGAGGGGAGTTGGCTTCCTCTGGGAGGAAGGGCTGTGGGCTTCCTCTGGGGCCCATAGGCAGGGTGAGATGGATGACAAATATTAGTGTTTGCATGGGAGGAAGAAAAGGATGCAGTGAGTGCAACTAACTACATCCCTCCTTGCTCTTTAAATTGCAGTTCGTACCAACTAGTCAAAAGTGAGCCAAATATCTGCACTTTGGTTCCTGCCACTACCTCATATCTAATATCCTCACTCTGCCAGTCTGCCAAAAATTACTGGGAAAAACTTCTCCTTATGAGATTTCTGCTCATATCCTCAGTAGGGTTGCTAAAAGTGACCACAATCTGCCCCTTTCCTATCCCTCTATGGATCAACTATATTCCCTGACATTCAAAAACCACTAAACTTTCACTTGAGTCTCATAAAGCTCCTGCTCTTCTGTTTTGATGTAGCCATACTTAGATTATTGCAGTTTTCTACCATGCTCCCTCTCAGTTAACATATTTCAAATTTATTATATTTCTTTATATGAAACTCCTTGCCACCATCGTCACAAGACATTTTCTCTTCCAAGAAAGCTTCCTAGACCCATCCAAGTCTTAAGTTCGGCATTCTGTTTTGTGCTTCTATAGTGTTCCAATCTTTCACTATCTTAGCCCTTCTCAGACTCTTGTTTCCTTTATTTGTTCGTGTTCGTCTTCCATTGAACTGAAAGGTCTACAATGTCAGGGATTTGCTCTTATTCACTTAAATATTGTTAATGTATATCACACGTATGTAGCAGGCAATCAATAGCTTTCTGACTTTATAAATGATACATGCTGAATAGATGAATTGGTTAATAAGTGAATAGGGTTGCCAGTCTATATCTAATATATCACATCATATAATACATATATTTGTAACCCTAAAAATTCCTACATATATTTATGACACATATAAAATGCTTCAACTAGTAATATTTTCATAGTCAAGTTCTTAACATATATTATTTTCTAAATTAAAGATGTGCTGCTAACTTAGTTCCCAGATTTTGATTCACCAACATTGGCAAGACTCTCCTGATTCAGAAACTTCATAGTTGATCTTTTGGGAATCTACAGAATTTCATTTTCAGCATCTGTATGCAACGCAGTATAAGTCTTTATTTCCAAATAGATCATCTCATTTAAAAGGCTGGAAGTCCTTTGGGAAGTAGATAAACCATTGGAGCAGACCCTAAATAACGAGACACAAAGTCCTAGAGTGAGCCTCCCATGCAAATACTCTGTTTTTATTCAATACAGCAGGCTTTTCATCATTATTTGTTTTGTGCTGACTGCAGAAACCCATTTCTGTCTTTCTCTCTGCATCACTAATTAAAAGCTTTAAGGAGTTAAGACTCAATACAGCAAAGTAAGTCATGCTTTATTGTCATCATCCATTATGTGAATCTGCTGGACTATATACAGTCCTGCATTCCCAGGAAAAGAAAACTACAACTCTTAAAGCCCTTTCTCTTTAGAGAGGAAAATTTATTTATTAAATGCAGAAGTAAAAGTAGATATTCTCCACTTTCCTATGTATATGTAACTTTAATCTTAGATTTTAGCCCTTTATTTCCATAGAAAATAGGTTAGAAGCACATTGAGGACAACAGCTGAGTATCTAGGAACATAACCAAGAAGGCGTATATTTGACTACAGAGTCAGAAAAGGTGCTAGTGTAACAAAGTTGTTCCTCCTATGGAAGCTCACAGAGGGGCTACACTGGAAATTTATGGACATGTATTCTTGATTTATAAAACCCACACATGTCCTGATGCTCAATATGTATGTATAAAAAGAAACTAATAATTTTTAAAAATTTAACCAACACTTTTACACAAGCTACAATTTCAACCTTAGAGACATAATAGTTAAAATACAGATTATTGAGAACCCACTAGAATGGCACTTCATAAAAAGCTACTAACAGTGGAATGAATAAGACTATGTAAGGTAGCTTAGCCTTTAATAGCAGTAAGTAAGGGGGAACACCAAATAAAGTAGTCATCACCTACAAAAGTCAGTTCTTTTTACCCTTAAAAGCACTCATTTATTTGTTTATTCAACAAATAGTTATTGCTCAACTATAACATGCTAGACATGGAAAGATCTCCGTCCATAAGTAGACCATTGCTCAATAGATAAAATAACTATTTGCAAATATAAATTATAAAATCTAATTGATATTGTTTGATACATGGGTGTACCAAATAAAAATGGTAGAAATGAATTATAATAATTAATCTTGACTTTCAAGCTGGGGAAACTTTCATAGAAGAGGGATGATATGGTCTGGCTGTGTCCCCACCCAAATCTTATCTTCAATTGTATCTAATCCCCATGTGTCAAGGGAGGGACCTGGTGGGAGGTAATTGAATCATAGGGGTGGTTTCCCCCATGTTGTTCTCATGATAGTGAGTTCTCACAAGATCTGATGGCTTTATAACCATCTGACATTTCCCCTGCTGGCACTCATTCTCTCTCCTGCTGCCCTGTGAAGAGATGACTTCCGCCATGATTGTAAGTTTTCTGAGGCCTCCGCAGCCATGTGGAACTGTGAGTCAATTAAACCCCTTTTCTTTATAAATTACCCAGTCTCAGGTATTTCTTCATAGCAGCATGAGAATGGACTAACACATGGGGCCACTTTTGTATGGAACTTGAGACTCATATGAGTTTGGTAGAGGTATGCAGAGGGAAAAAGATTCCTTCAGGCATATGTAAAAGTATGAAGGCATATACTGCATAATATACTTAGGAAATAAAAGAGATCCATGCAGACAGAGAAAGATATCCTTGAAGAAAACTGTCAAAAGACTAATATGAAAAGATAATTGGGGTCAGAAAGGCAAAGAACCTTATAGCATAATCTACCTTGAACTTGTTCTATAGATAATAAGGTAGGCTTTTAAGCAGCATAGGACAAACATAAATCACACATTTTAAAAGATTTTTCTGACAAAAAGGAAGAGAAAGACATGAAGCAGGGAGAGATTGGGAAAGAAGTTCCTTTGATACCATTAGGGGAAATGATAAGCATTTGGATGAAGACACTCCAGGGGGCAGTGAGCAGGGGATGCAGGTACAGAGGACATGGGAGAGGTAGGCAGTCTTTGTTGATTTTATGGGGTGGCAGCCATAAGAAATGAGTTAAGGATGGTTAAGGCAACTGGTTCAGTGATAAAAATATCATGCTGGATAGGAAATACTAAAAGAAAAGTACAGTTAAAAAGAAAGGGAGTTTAATTATAGACATGCTGAATCTCTCATATCTCTAGGACCACTAGAGGCAGTTGCTCAGTGAGCTGATGAGAATATTGATCTGGAGCTCAGGAAGAAGGTTAGAGCCAGAGGTATAGAAACTGGAGTTATAGCTATAAAGATGATTTGTTCTCTGAAAGTAGATGAGATTTTCCACATTCAGAGAATGTAAAACACATTTACACAGACATGTAAAACAAAAATGGAAGAGCGTGCAAAGTACACTTATGGAGTTCACTCAACTAACTAACTAAATAATACACAGAGGTTGAAGGGTCTCTGACAGGACAACTGGAATGAAGAACTTTTTTGTTTTTTGTTTTTTCAAAAGTAAGAGTGGAGAGAAATCTGCAGGACCAGATGCTACTAGGAAGTATAACTAAATAGAAAAAGAAAGTCCCTGGATATAGGTAAAGGGAGATCTATAGTGATTTGAGTGATGTTTTTTCTGTTCAAGTCATGTAGACAGAAGCTGAATGCAGTGCGTTGGATTGTTGATCACTATTCTAGGAAGGCTGGCAGTATAGACAAAGGGAGAGGACAAGAGTAGGTAAATACAGTCATACATACCATTGTGAATAAAGGAGGTATACCTATTAATAAGGGACACTAAAATGCCAAACTTTGGCAAAAATATATTTTTTAGAAGTATTGTGTTTCTAATTTCACCAGTTGTTAGTCTGTAATCTAGATCCTCCATCAGCTAATTGAAAATTAAAAGTATTAAAGAAATAAATACCTGTGGGTAAGTTGGTACTTAATATTTTAGCACTATGCCCTCTTGAATGTACCCTGTCTATGACAACATTTAATTATGTGTTTGGGACAGTGGTATTGGGAAGCAGCTATCAGCAATACTTATGCGCGATCATTAGCATCATTGTCACAGTCATAATATGAAATAAATGGGGTATAGTTTTATTCTGAAGAGACCTTATTTTGCTTTTCTTTGTTCTCTGCTAGCTAGCTACAACATTTAATTACTTAGGATACAATAAACATAATATCTGTGAGCTATGCATAATTGTCTTCCAGTTCCAGTGAGAATCACTTATATTTTCCCCCTGAAGTTAAAAATTGAAACCGAAATGCAAACTAGATGACTCATATATAAGATCAAAGCCCTGTGGTGTGTCTTTCTATTCTGGATACATCTGTCACCTTTAAAATGAAACAGTTTCTTCCCACTTGAATTTGTACTTAAATCTTTTAAATAGTCTGAGTCTGAATTAGATTTGGGTTCTAAAAGCTTATTCATGCTATTTTTGTGCTTATGAATGTGGACACCTGGTTACATTGAAGGTATTAGTCTGATTTAGCCTATTTTTTTTAGTTTCCAATGTGAGTCAGTATAGGCTTGATGCAAGAAAAAACCTTAAGCCTAGCCAAGGCAGACTGTTACATTCCCTACACTAGTAGTATAACTGTGGCTCTGAGACTGAAGTGGATCTTTTCCTATCATGTGACCCAAACTTCCAGGAATGAAATCACTTTTACTTTGTTATTCCTGAGTCTAGTACATTAAGTGGCACATGCAAGGTTATATTTTATATTAACTAAAGAAGTAGCGACCTAAGTTGAAACTAAATTTGCTACCATTTATTTAGGTAATTCCCACCACTGCTCACCATCTTGCTGTTGTGTTTTCAAAACTTCTGTTCATCTCCTACAAGCAGCTCAGTCCTCAGGGCAAGCCTCCTCCAATCCTTGGCCTCGAAGAAGACAAAATCTTTGATATTGTGCTCAAATCCATACAACACATACACTGTAATGTCTCTCAACTCCAAAATATTAGTTTTCACTCAACAATAAAACTTACATAGATGGTTAGTCTGTATCCGTTTAAAATTATTATTTAATCATGTATGTTAAGTTGGATCTCATGCATTTTATTACATCACATAAATATGCTTGATAATGCACTAATCCAATGAAAAAAATCACTTTAGTTGAACACAAATGTACTTTTATACCTGCTGGACTGAGCGATTAGGTAGGTGTAGAAACTACAGTAGGCAGTTTCTGACATCGCTTCCAATTATTCCCACCTCCCGGTCTTCATGCCCTGTGTTAATTTCTCCCCTTGAGTGGAGGCTGGATCTAGTGATTTGCTTCTAATGAACAAAATAGCACGAAAGTGATGGGATATCGCTTCCGTGATTAGTTTATAAAAGACGGTGACTTCTGCCTTAGTAGGAAGCTCTCTCTTACTGACTTTGATGAAGGAGGTGCTATATTTGAGAGGCATGGAACTGAGAGTATCCAATGGCCAGTAATAGCCAATGATAAATTGACATCTTCCTTGCAGGAGCCCTGAGGAACTGAACTCTGTCAGCAATCACATAAGTGATCTTGGAAGTGGATTCTTCCTTAGTAGAGCCTTTCAGGTAACACTCCCAAAGCTTGATTGAAGCCTTGTAAGAGGCTGTGATGATTGAAGCTGATTTAGTTGATATGAGAGAAAAAAGAGAGAGAGAGAGAGAGAGAGAGAGAGAAATAGACTGTAATACATAGGGCCTAACTAATTTGTGCCCAGATTCTGGACCCGCAGAAACTGAGATATTAAATGTGTACTATATTAAACTGCTAAGTTTTGAGGGTAATTTGTTACAGAGCTACAGATAACTAAAACATTTAACATTCATCAAATGGTAATTAAGCAGGACTGTAGGACTGTTCAATAGCTAGTGAAAAACAGGATTGAGAAGAAAAAAAGACATTCTCAAATAGATAATGATCCTAACTTTATTCTTTAACAATAGTGTCAGGTCCTCATCCAATTCTTATTTACTCTTACTTCAGAGACAATTCTAAAAATCTACATTATCAGATTTTCCAACAAACAAACAACAGAAGCAAATTTTTAAAAAATTGCGGTGGAAACTAAAATACATCCATATCACCAGCAGTTAGATGTGACTCTAGGGAATCCAATAGGAAAGAAAGAATGTATTTTGAGGCTAAGTTTCAATAAGATAATTTAATGCATGAAAAAACAAAGTTTAAAAATTCTTTGACAGAATATATTCAATACATTAAAATATTTAAGATATTAAGAACTGTTAATAAAAGCTTGGAATATAATTTTAAAATAATTCTAAATATTTTTAAATAGATTGTAATTTCAATAAACTTTGGAAAGATTTATTACAACAGCATTTACATTGGCATTGAAAATAAACTATTTACTTCAACATTTGTTTTATAGAGTAATTTATTCCTAAATGAAGCTGGGTAAATGAAGTGCTGCTTTTATAAAGAATTGTGTTTGGAATAAGTCATTATGTCCATCTCATGCTTTCAAGAAAATTTAAACCATCACCGAAAGAGGAGAAGGTGACCTGCGTGTGAAAACCTCCAAAAAAGAGATTAGAGTTTCATTGGTTACACATTCTATGCCTTAATAAATATCACTGTCAGAAAATTCTCATATCTAACATAAATCACTTTGGTTTCACTTCAAGCCCAAATAGTTGTGTTCTCTGTATCACACAGATGGAAGACAGTTGGTGGCTGAGCTCTGTGAAGATACCATAAGAGACTTGAAAACAAGTTTCACCCGCTGGAATCCTTTACACTGATTGATTCATAGCTCAGAGCTTTTAAATAACAGTGGTGTCACTGCCATCCCTACTCCAGAGCCACTCTAGAGATATGCTTTAATTGACCCTCATGGTATAGAGTTTTGAAAAGATGAAAGTCAATATTTTGAGAGTCAAGAAAACAGCTCTTTCCATAAATTGCACACAGAAGGGCCTATGGCTATGAAAATTCCAAACAAATACGTTCCCACTTTCTCATCACATTTGTTCAAATATTTGGAAATCACTCTCTAATCACTATTATTTTCTCCTGTAGAATGAAAATCTTAATCTTCCTTCTACCGATTCTTTCTGTTAATATGAACTTGGGATCTCTTCACTATTCTGATCTTTTCATCTGGACACATTACGGCATGTTTCTATGTTTTTCCAAATTTCATTTTCTCTTTTATTAGCATATAACTCTCATATTCTCTCGATGGACTATGACTGTGACTGAGACTAATGGTATATTTTGTCTACCTACTCTACCTACTGCAATTTTAAAAGCTTTTTTTTGCTTTATTTTCAGAAATTTGTATTTAAATGTGCTAAAATATTGTTTTTGATTTTCAAATTCAAAATAGTATTATTATATTGAATATATTTGATTATATTGAATATTATATTAATATTATATTCAAACTAAGCATTTCTACCTGTGATTTTTATACCACCAGGAGACCTATGTCACTTACCTTCAGTTCACAATAATTACACATCAGTTTGAATTTTTTCTCAGATTATGCGACGTTAAGAATTAGTTATAATACTCTAAATATTATTTGAAGTAATATAGACTTCAAAGAGATGTTTAATTTCATTCATATGGCAATATATTTATCACATCAACCAACCAGGGCAGTTTACTGAAGTTTTGACCTTCAGAGATTTTATTGAGTCTTTATTATGTAGGTGTGATTAATTGATTGATTTCCCATGTGTTTGAACTTAATCTTCCTTTAAATTGAACCACATGACCAAAAGCCCCTACTCTGAAGTGGCCAACCCCCATCCTAAATCACATGGTTAGCCTGTCTAGCATGGCCAGCCACCAATCTAACTGTCTAATGTGGCAAGCCCCACCCTAAGCAAAGGCACTCCTGTCAGATATTACATAGATTAGATTCCAGAAGACAAGACAAAGGCCAGACCTCTTTTTTGACAAGGGAAATTTTTTACTACACACAGACAATCTCTGCTTTTTAAGTGACGTAGTTAGACCATTAACATTTAGGTAATTATTGATATGGTTGAATTTAATGCCATCATTTTAAAATTTGCCTTCTATTTGTCTTATCTGATTTTTTCCTCTCTTTATGACTTTTGCATTGATTAATATTGATTTAATTTTAACTCCACTATTAATTTATTAGTTACATCTGTTTGTTTTTATTCTTAGTAATTGCTTTAGAGTTTATAATGTACATACTTAACTATTACAGTCTAGCTTCAAATATTATTATCATTTTATTGTATGATGTATGAGAACCTGACATCAGTATACATCCATTATATCTCTCTTGGCCTTACTTAGTTTTATATGTCATATATTTAAACATGGTATATATCTTTTGATACATTCTTATTATTTTCATTTCAAACATTTGATTATCTTTCAGAGGAATAAAAAATAAGAAACATTATATTACTCATATATATAATTTGTGGAGATATAAATTCCTTTTTATAGTTCCAAATTGTTATCAGGTATCATCTTCCTTTTGTCTTTAACCTTTCTTGCCATGCAGGACCATGGTTATAAATACTCTCAACTTTTTTTTAACTGAGAAATGGTTGTTATGTTTTGCTGGCTGAGAAATTCTAGGTTAATGTTTTTTCTTTCACTGTTTTAAAGATGTCATTCCACTATGCCCTGGCTTGCATTCTTTCTGATAACAATTTCTGCTGTTATTTTTTATTGCTGTTTCTTTGTGAGTGGAGTATCTTTTTGCTCTCACTGCTTTAAATTTATTTTTGTTATCAATAATTCATTGAAGTTGATTATGGTGGGCCTCGTTGTTTTATTTAGCTTTATTCTGCTTGAAGTTCATTAGGAAGATGTTGTGATCTTATTTTTTCACATATTTGTATGTGCTTTCTTCTTTTCCTTTAGTCTTATTTTGGTATTCCAGTTATACATATATTATTAGGCCATATAAACTTATTCCACAGCTCTCTGATACTCTGTTCAGTTTTATTTTCCTTGTGTTTACTTTTGATGTTTCTCTTGCTATATCTTCAAGCTCATTAATTTCTTCTGCTGTAATATCTAATATACCCTCAGTATCATATGATATGTGTTTTTTTTCTTAGACATTATAGTTTTTATTTCCAGAAATTTGATTTGGGTCTTTCTTATATATTTTACATCTCTAATGTTCAATCAGTCTTCCTTCTTGCTTCTTCAACATATAGAATGTCATTTTAAAAACTGGTTTGATTTTATTTTCTACTAATTTTATCATCTGAATAGTTTCTGGGTTCTTTTAATTTGTTGATTTTTTTCATCTTGATGAGTTACATTTTTCTGCTTCTTTTCACTTCTGGTGATTTTAGATGTGCTGTAGATACTGTGCATCTTATCTTATTTGATTTGGATATATTTGTAATTCCTACAAATATTCTTAAGCTTAATTCTTAGATGTAGTTAAGTAACTTGGAAAAAGTTTTATCCTTTTGGGTCTTGTTTTTAACTTACACCAAACAGGTGAAAAGCCTCATTTTAAAAAGGGCAGATTTTGTGTCATTACTGATGTAAAAACCTTCTAAAAAGGCTGCCTGATACTGTTTTTCAATTTTGCTGGTGGTAAAAGGAATGATTTACATATTTGCGTTTTAAAGATAGTTCCATCTAATCCTTTCAAAGGTTAATTTCCCAGCCTTGATTAATTTTCCCGCATGAATGACTTTATAAGTGTTCAGCTGATAGACTTGAGGGAGAACTATGGATATCTGAAATTCTACCTCTGTGTATTTCTTTCCTTTCTGGTATTCTGCTGCAAATTCTAACTACATAGGCCTCCTTCATTTCCCAATTCTGTCTCTTCAATTTAGGAAGACTTTCTGGTCTTGCTTGAGTTTCTCATCATGTTCTGAAAACTCTCTCCAGGTAGTAAGCTGGGATAGTGACATAGCTCATCTCCTGTTTTTACGCCTTATAGATCACTGTCCTTTATTTCCTGGCATCCAATCTTTTCAAACCATTGTTTAAAATCTACTTCTGGTTTTTTTTTTTAATTGTTTCAGGTAATAGGTTAAATCTACTTCCTTTAATTTCACCTTGGCCAGAAGTGTAAGTATTATTTACATTTTTCATATTAAACGAAATTAGTAAAAGCAAATTGCCCAGTTTTCCACTTACTGATAGGATGCAAACTTTTAGTATTAGGCAAAATTCCCTGGGATGCTAAATATTTACTCTTGAATTGAATGGTGTGCATGAATACAGTGATTAATTGGGATTTTTGAGGTATTTAATAGAAAATACTGATTTAAGTAAAATCTAATAATAAAAATCTAACTTTCAGCAAATTGAAATTAGTTAGTATTTTTATGTTAACAGGAAAGGGGTAAAGAAACTTTTTTAAAGTATTAATTCCAGCTGGGTGCAGTGGTTCACCTGTAATCCTAACACTTGGGAGGCTGAGGCAGGAGAATTGCCTAAGGCAAGGAGTTTGAGACCAGCCTGGGCAATATAACAAGACCCTGTGTCTACAAAAAATTTTTGAAAATTAGTCAGGCATAGTGGCATGTGCCTGTAGTCCCAGCTGAGAGAGTACAGAAGAGGCTGAGAGGATGAGTCCAGGAGCTTGAGACTGTAGTGAGATGTAATTGGGCCACTGCACTCCAAAAAAAGAAAATGACAAAGAGGAAGCAAAAGCAATAGAATATAACAAATAGTAAAATAAGATGAAAAACAATTTTACATGTTATGATAAGAGAAATTATATAAATGAAGCCAATAAATAAAAAGAAATAGTGAAGGAAAGGTAAAATTTAATACTAAAGAGATATATTAGATGCTATCAATTAGGCTTTGTGTCCCCACCCAAATCTCCTCTTGAATTATAATCCCCATAAATCCCATGTGTCAAGGGAGAGACCAGATGGAGGTAATTGGATTATGGGGGCAGTTTCCCCCATGCTGTTCTCATGATAGTGAGTTCTCATGAGATCTGATGGTTTTATAAGGAGCTCTTCCCCTTTGCTCGGCACTCCTCCTTCCTGCCACCATGTGAAGAAAGCGCCTTGCTTTCCCTTTGCCTTCCACCTTGATTGTAAGGCTCCTGAGACCTCCCAGCCACACTGAACTGTGTCAATTAAACCTCTTTCCTTGCTAAATCCCTGCCTCTGGCCATTCTTTATAGCAGTATAAAAACCGACTAATACAGACACAACCAGTAAAAAAAATTATAACCACAATCTTTTATGCCACAAACAATCTAAGAGTTTTATCCTATTCAAAGGAAAAAAATCTAAATTTTATAAATTATAATCAGTATGAGAAATTGTAATAAATCTCAAAATTTGACAGAACAGGAGAAAAATAGAGATGCTTTAAGTATAATGATAAACATATAAATTCATCTATCTTTCCACTCTTGTACTTAGCAATCTTTTTCTATCTATTGATACAGATCATGGAGGTACAGTTCATAACCCTGACAAGGCAGTCAGAATGGATTTCTGAAGTTGAGCAGACAAAGCAGAGGAGGAGAATGTCAGACAGGGAAAGTAGTATGTGTTAACTAAGGCACAGAGTCATGAGAAATAATGTCCCATTCAAGGCTGTAAGTACAGAGCTAATTCAGTATAACAAGAACATTGGATGGCCTTTTGAAGAATGATCTGAAGGCTGGGCATGGTGGGCTCATGCCTATAATCCCAGCACTTTGGGAGGCCAAGGTGGGCAGATCACCTGAGGTCAGGAGTTTGAGACCAGCCTGGTCAACATGACAAACCCTGTCTCTACTAAAATACAAAAATTAGCTGGGTGTGGTGGCACACACTTGTAATCCCAGCTACTCAGGACTCTGAGGCAGGAGAATCACTTGAACCCAGGAGGAGGAGGTTGCAGTGGGCCGAGATCATGCCACTACACTCCAGCCTGGATGACAGAGCGAGACTCCATCTTAAATACAAAAACAAAACCCAAAAACAACAAAAATATCCAAAGAGATAAATAAGGAGTCAGTCTAGAGAGTTTTTTTTTTTTTTTGCCTGCCAGATTGCTTAGATTTTTATCTTGTTGGTGATGAGAAAACTGTTTGTTGCATACATCATAAGCTCTGGATGGGAGCAAGCTTAGCTCCAAATGTGACTTTGAGACTTACCAGTTATGTAACCTTGTATACCTTACTTGGCATTTCTGGCTCTCAGTACTCTCTTCAGTAAAATGGGGGTAAAAAATGCTTAACTGTAAGAGCAGGAGTGAAGACTAGAACTATGTAGTATGGGACATATTGGAGCTACTCAACAAATATTAGCATTGTTTCTGAAGCAGAAGAGTAGCATGGTAAGTTTTTCCTTTAAAAATTGCTGCATTTTCAGCAGAATGGAGGAGACACAGAAGAGCCATGGAGATGCTTTTGATAATCAAGGTGAAAAATTATGACTCTGAAACGGAGCAGTGTTGGGAATGAGTGAATATGGGGTTGAAGAGGAGGGAGGGGAATAGGTTAATTCAACTTTTCTGGTTTGATTTATTCACTTAAAGAGGAATTGCATGAGCAGAAGTAGGCTTGGAGGTAACAGTAATAGCTGCGTGTATAGGGCTCTTACTAATTTCAGGAATATAGTGACTACTACAGAAGTATAACTACCATATGGTCATCAAAATCAGCATATATGGTAACTGCCATCTCCATTTTACAAATAAGGAAAGTGGGATATAAAGAGATACATTTACTGGCCCAAGGTCTCACAACTGATAAATGGCAGAGCTGAGACATAAACCTGGCAGAAATGTTCCATTAATCATGTTGTTAACCATTTTACTCTATTGCATAATTATGAAAATCTTACAAAATATGTAAATCAGATGAGGCAATGTTCTGGATCTTTCTACTAGAATATTTAAAATATTAGTCTTAGTTTCCTCACCTGTAAATTGTGATTATAAGGGTAGTTGATAATTTTCTTTCATTTCTAAGATTTCATTAACTTTACATTAATAATGGTGAAGAAGAAAGCCAGTGATATACAGAGAGTTAGCAGCAGAGTCTAATTGGGAATATAAATTTTAAAATCCAATTTTTTTTTATAGTAAGGGCTAGATGTAATGGGATTTTAAAATTATTATTTAGTTAGTTTTGTTTTGTTCACAGGAAATATTACAGCACATATGCAAGCAAGCATTGGGGTAAGCTTGTTCTTCTCTCTATCTTGGTTCATCTTCCTTATCCTTGGACCTTTATCTCATTGCATCCAGCCACCCTTTGTATAAAACATCCCCGCACAAAAATAAAAAGATAGCAGTTATTTTCAATGTAAAAGTACTTTTTAAAAGAGCACAGTAAAATAAAATTAAATAAATATCTCGTGAAATATATTATGAAATAAAGTTGTACATGGATACTCCACTGCCAATCTGTTCATTAATACCTCTCTCTCTTTTTTACTCTGTTATTCATATTTGGGAAGGAAAAATTAAGAATAAGGGGGAAAAAGAGACTGCAAAAGAAACATGAAGCCAGCTGTAGGAGAAAAGGCTAAGAGACAAAAGAGAAAACAGAGACTAACAAAGTAGAAAATAAGAAGAAAATGAATCAGAAATAATGAAAATACAGATGGACTGACAAAAGGAAGGCTGATTTATGAGAAACTGTATACTACATTAAATTAAAATCCTTAAACAAGAAAATACACACAGTTTTAAAGGTTTCTTTAAAAAAAAAATAGGTGGTTATGTGGCTATTTTATCTACCAGCTTTTGATGTGAAGAATTTTACAATGAGAACACTTGGACACAGGAAGGGGAACATCACACACTGGGGCCTGTCGTGGGGTCGGGGGAAGGATAGCATTAGGAGATATACCTAATGTAAATGATGAGTTAATGGGTGCAGCACACCAACATGGCACATGTATACATATGTAACAAAACTGCACGTTGCGTACATGTACCCTAGAACTTAAAGTATAATAAAAATATATAAAAAAAAGAATTTTAATAACATTTCTTGAGCACCTCGTATTCTGTACCATTTGTACATGAGTAATTAATAAGAGTGCTGTTGTTGCCATCTTAGTATTCACCTAAGTGTATACAAGATTATTTGTTATGCAAATAAGATGTAAGTGAATCCATTCTGACTTAAAACAAGAGACTGGATGACTCAGGGCTATCAAACTCACCTAGGACAGGCAGTTAGGAAACATAAAAGCAGCATTAACTACTGAATGTGTTATAAAAGAGACCAGCATGATGGTGATTTGACTGGCCTGGATGCTGTTCAAGGTGGAGCTCTTTTCCAGATGTAATGCTGGCTGTAATGTTGCCTAAACCTATAGTTAATTTATCTTCTTCCATCAAGATCCAAATCACACATTGGTCCTTCACCCTTAGCGGCAAGTCCCGCTTTTCTGGGGGAGGGGCAAGTACCCCTCAACCCCTTCTCCTTCACCTTTAGCGGCAAGTCCCGCTTTTCTAGGGGCAAGACGCCCCAATCCCTTATTTCCGTGCCCCAACCCCTTTCCTGCTTTTCTGGAAGGCAACAAACCCCCACTCCTTCTCCGTGTCTCTACTCTTTTCTCTGGGCTTGCCTCCTTCACTATGGGCAAGCTTCCACCTTCCATTCCTCCTTCTTCTCCCTTAGCCTGTATTCTTAAGAACTTCAGACCTCTTCAGCTCTCACCTGACCTAAAATCTAAGCGTCTTTTTTTCTTCTGCAATGCTGCTTGACCCCAATACAAACCCGACAGTAGTTCCAAATAGCCGGAAAATTGCACTTTCAATTTTTCCATCCTACAAGATCTAAATAATTCTTGTCGTAAAATAGGCAAACGGGCTGAGGTGCCTGACATCCAGGCATTCTTTTACACATAGGTCCCTCCCTCATCTCTGTTCCCAATGCAACTCATCCCAAATCTTCCTTCTTTCCCTCCTGCCTGTCCTCTCAGTCCCAACCCCAAGCGTCGCTGAGTCTTTCTAATCTTCCTTTTCTACAGACCCATCTGACCTCTCCCCTCCTCGCCAGGCCAAGCTAGGTCCCGATTCTTCCTCAGCCTCCGCTCCTCCACCCTATAATCCTTTTATCACCTCCCCTACTCACACCAGGTCCGACTTACAGTTTCATTCCGTGAGTAGCCCTCCCCCACCTGCCCAGCAATTTCCTCTTAAAAAGGTGGCTGGAGCTAAAGGCATAGTCAAGGTTAATGCTCCTTTTTCTTTATCCCAAATCAGATAGCATTTAGGCTCTTTTTCATCAAATATAAAAATCCAGCCCAGTTCATGGCTCGTTTGGCAGCAACCCTGAGATGCTTTACAGCCCTAGACCCTAAAAGGTCAAAAGGCCGTCTTATTCTCAATATACATTATATTACCCAATCTGCTCCCGACATTAAATAAAACTCCAAAAATGAAATTCCGGCCCTCAAACCCCACAACAAGACTTAATTAACCTCACCTTCAAGGTGTACAATAATAGAGTAGAGGCAGCCAAGTAACAATGTATTTCTGAGTTGCAATTCCTTGCCTCCACTGTAAGACAAACCCCAGCCACATCTCCAGCACACAAGAACTTCCAAACACCCGAACTGCAGCGGCCAGGCATTCCTCCAGAACCGCCTCCCCCAGGAGCTTGCTACAAGTGACAGAAATCTGGCCACCAGGGCAAGGAATGCCTGCAGCCCAGGATTCCTCCTAAGCCGTGTCCCATCTGTGCAGGACCCCACTGAAAACTGGACTGTTCAACTCACCTGGCAGCCACTCCCAGAGCCCCTGGAACTCTGGCCCAAGGCTCTCTGACTGACTCCTTCCCAGATCTTCTCAGCTTAGCGGCTGAAGACTGATGCTGCCCGATCGCCTTGGAAGCCCCATAGACCATCACGGACGCCAAGCTTTAAGTAACTCTCACAGTGGAGGGTAAGTCCGTCCCCTTCTTAATCAATATGGAGGCTACTCACTCCACATTACCTTCTTTTCAAGGGCCTGTTTCCCTTGCCTCCATAACTGTTGTGGGTTTTGACAGCCAGGCTTCTAAACCTCTTAAAACTCCCCAACTCTGGTGCCAACTAAGACAGTACTCTTTTAAGCACTCCTTTTTAGTTATCCCCACCTGCCCAGTTCTCTTATTAGGCTGAGACACTTTAACTAAATTATCTGCTTCCCTGACTATTCCTAGGCTACAGCCGCACCTCATTGCCATCTTTTCCCCCAGTTCAAAGCCTCCTTCACATCCTCCCCTTGTATCTCCCCACCTTAACCCACAAGTATAAGACACCTCTACTCCCTCCTTAGCGACCGATCATGCACCCCTTACCATCCTATTAAAACCTAATCACTCTTACCCCACTCAATGCCAATATCCCATCCTACAGCAGGCTTTAAAAGGATTAAAGCCTGTTATCACTCACCTGCTACAGCATAGGCTTCTAAAACCTATAAACTCTCCTTACAATTCCCGCATTTTACCTGTCCTAAAACTAGACAAGACTTAGAGGTTAGTTCAGGATCTGCGCCTTATCAACCAAATTGTTTTGCCTATCCACCCCGTGGTGCCAAACCCGTATACTCTCCTATCCTCAATACCTCCCTCCACAACCCATTATTCTGTTCTAGATCTCAAACATGCTTTCTTTACTATTCCTTTGCACCCTTTATCCCAGCCTCTCTTCGCTTTCACTTGGACTGACCCTGACACCTATTAAGCTCAGCAAATTACCTAGGCTGTGCTGCCGCAAGGCTTCACAGACAGCCCCCATTATTTCCATCAAGCACAAATTTCTTCCTCATCTGTTACCTATCTCGGCATAATTCTCATAAAAACAATGTGCTCTCCCTGCTGATCGTGTCCGGCTAATCTCCCAAACCCCAATCCCTTCTACAAAACAACAACTCCTTTCCTTCCTAGGCATGGTTAGTGCGGTCAGAATTCTTACCCAAGAGCCAGGACCACACCCTGTAGCCTTTTTATCCAAACAACTTGACCTTACTGTTTTAGCCTAGCCCTCATGTCTGTGTGCATCAGCTGCCGCTGCTTTAATACTTTTAAAGGCCCTAAAAATCATAAACTATGCTCAACTCACTCTCTACATTTCTCATAACTTCCAAAATCTATTTTCTTCCTCCCACCTGATGCACATACTTTCTGCTCCCCAGCTCCTTCAGCTATACTCATTCTTTGTTGAGTCTCCCACAATTACCATTGTTCCTGGCACGGACTTCAATCTGGCCTTCCACATTATTCTGGATACCACACCTGACCCTCATGACTGTATCTCTCTGATCCACCTGACATTCATCCCATTTCCCCATATTTCCTTCTTTCCTGTTCCTCACCCTGATCACATTTAGTTTATTGATGGCAGCTCCGCCAGGCCTAATCACCACTCACCAGCAAAGGCAGGCTATGCTATAGTATCTTCCCCATCTATCATTAAGGCTACCGCTCTGCCCCCCTCCACTACCTCTCAGCAAGCCAAACTAGTTGCCTTAACTCAAGCCCTCACTCTTGCAAAAGGACTACACGTCAATATTTATAGTGACTCTAAATATGCCTGTCATATTCTGCACCACCATGCTGTTATATAGGCTGAAAGAGGTTTCCTCACTACGCAAAGGTTCTCCGTCATTAATGCCTCTTTAATAAAAACTCTGCTCAAGGCCACTTTACTTCCAAAGGAAGCTGGAGTCATTCACTGCAAAGGCCATCAAAAGGCATCAGATCCCATTGCTCTAGGCAACGCTTATGCTGATAAGGTGGCTAGACAAGCAGCTAGCTTCCCAACTTCTGTCCCTCACAGCCAATTTTTCTCCTTCGCATTGGTCACTCCCACCTACTCCCCCGCTGAAACTTCCACCTACCAATCTCTTCCCACACAAGGCAAATAGTTCTAAGACCAAGGAAAATATCTCCTTCCAGCCTCACAGGCCCATTCTATTCTGTCGTCATTTCATAACCTCTTCCATGTAGGTTACAAGCTGCTAGCCCGTCTCTTAGAACCTCTCATTTCCTTTCCATCATGGAAATCTATCCTCAAGGAGATCACGTCTCAGTTGTTCCATCTGCTATTCTACTAACCCTCAGGGATTGTTCAGGCCCCCTCCCTTTCCTACACATCAAGCTCGAGGATTTGTCCCTGCCCAGGACTGGCAAATTGACTTTACTCATATGCCCTGAGTCAGAGAACTAAAATATCTCTTAGTCTAAGTAGACACTTTCACTGGATGGGTAGAGGCCTTTCCCACAAGGTCTGAGAAGTCCACTGCGGTCATTTCTTCCCTTCTGTCAGACATAATTCCTCGGTTTGGCCTTCCCACCTCTATATAGTCTGATAATGGACCAGCCTTTATTAGCCAAATCAGCCAAGCATTTTTTCAGGCTCTTAGTATTCAGTGAAACCTTTATATCCCTTACAGTCCTCAGTCTTCAGGAAAGGTAGAACAGACTAATGGTCTTTTAAAAACACACCTCATCAAGCTCAGCCACCAATTTAAAGAGGACTGGACAATACTTTTACCACTTTCCCTTCTCAGAATTCAGGCCTGTCCTCAGAATGCGACAAGGTACAGCCCATTTGAGCTCCTGTATAGACGCTCCTTTTTATTAGGCCCCGGTCTCATTCCAGACACCAGACCAACTTGGACTGTGCCCCAAAAAACTCGTCATCCCTACTATCTTCTGTCTAGTCATACTCCTGCTCACCATTCTCAACTACTCATACATGCCCTGCTCTTGTTTACACTGCCAGTTTACACTGTTTCTCCAAGCCATCACAGCTGATATCTCCTGGAGCTATCCCCAAACCGCCACTCTTAACTCTTAAATAAATAATCTTTGCTGGGCAAGGCTATGCTGAACCTCCTTAGGCACTCTCTAATTAGATGTCCTAGGTCCTCCCAATTATTAGTCCTTTAATACCTGTTTTTCTCCTTCTCTTATTCCATTTAGTTTTCAATTCATACAAAACTGTATCCAGGCCATCACCAATAATTCTAAATGACAAATGTTTCTTCTAACAACCCCACAATATCACCCCTTGCCACAAAACCTTCAGCTTAATCTCTCCCACTCCAGGTTCCCACACTGCCCCTAATCCCGCTCGAAGCAGCCCTGAGAAACATCACCCATTATCTCTCCATACCACCCCCCAAAATTTTCACTGCCCCAACACTTTACCACTATTTCATTTTATTTTTCTTATTAATATAAGAAGACAGGAATGTCAGGCCTCTGAGCCCAAGCTAAGCCATCATATCCCCTGTGACCTGCATGTACACATCCAGATGGCTGGTTCCTGCCTTAACTGATGACATTCCACCACAAAAGAAGTGAAAATGGCCTGTTCCTGCCTTAACTGATGACATTATCTTGTGAAATTCCTTCTCCTGGCTCATCCTGGCTCAAAAGCTCCCCTACTGAGCACCTTGTGACCCCCACTCCTGCCCACCACAGAACAACCATCCTTTTTCCTTTACCTACCCAAATCCTATAAAATGCCCCACCTCTATCTCCCTTCACTGACTCTCTTTTCAGACTCAGCCCGCCTGCACCCAGGTGAAATAAACAGCTTTATTGCTCACACAAAGCCTGTTTGGTGGTCTCTTCACACGGACGCACATGAAATTATGGAACACTCTTTATGTGCCAGGCAGTAATTTATGTTCTTGGAATACAAATACAACAACGAACAACAGGGATGAGTCCTTGCCCACAAAGAGCAATAAATGAACAAACAAAAAAGCAAATAAGCCCGGGCGCAGTGGCTCACACCTGTAATCCCAGCACTTTGGAAGGCCGAGGCAGGCAGATCATGAGGTCAAGAGATCGAAACCATCCTGCCCAACATTGTGAAACCCCGTCTCTACTAAAAATACAAAAGTTAGCTGGGCGTGGTGGCGTACGTCTGTAGTCCTAGCTACTTGGGAGGCTGAGGCAGGAGAATTGCTTAAACCTGGGAGGCAGAGGCTGCAGTGAGCGACAGAGCGAGACTCCGTCAAAAAAAAAAACCACACAAAAAACAACAAAAAAAACAAGTAAATACACAGCCTTGCCTTAGTTGCTATGAAAACATGTATACTAGACAAAGAGGAAGTGAAGTAACAGGAAATAGTTTCAGGTAGGTATCTCACTCTAGGTTCTGTGAAATACTAAGCAGGTACTGAGACAGAGTCTGGAGTTCAAGATTTTTATTCATTTTTAATGCCTCTGAAGTAAAAGGAAAAGAAGAAAAAATGAATAGTGGAAGGAGTCAAGCTGTGCTGCAGGCAAGACACATCTTCTGAGAACCCACTGTGGAGCTCTGGAGCAGGTATTGCTCATTAATGCCCTTGTAGGTTGAAAATTATCAGCACTTTTTTATTTCTGCCTCACTCAGTGGTTGAATGTAGACTGCTATAGGAAGGGCATGACTTTGAATGGACCATTTCTGCAAAGGAGGCAAACCTTGAAGTTGCTGACAGACCAAGGTTTTCCACTGATTGTACTTCCAACAGCTCAGCAGCATATTCTTCCCTGGAATGGGATCTGGGTGGCACAGTTTTATGTCTACCACAATAGGATCACCAGGGAAGGATTTTTTCTGAACAGAAACCTGAATGAAATACAGAAATAAACTTTGCTAACATATAAAAATGTATAGCTACACTCAAGACTCTAAAAAAAATTTAGTAATCTATTTTACCATTCTTTAACTTTACTAAGCAACAACTTTTTTTATAAGAATATCTGAAGGAAACAAGAGACAGGCAGTCAATGAAGAGATCAGGGAAGGGGTTCAGGGAGCCTGGGAAGTGATGATAAGGACAGAAATACAAGAAAGAGGAGAGAGGATAAGGGTGTACTAGGCACAACGATCAAAATATTCATTGAGCCAACATTTCTTAATAATTGAAGGTGCCTCATGGCAAAGGCAACCAGGTGGCCATGTTAAGTTCTAGGCCACCCTAAACCCACCTTGGCATAGCTGTTTGGAGCCAGCACAGGTACTTCACCCATGGAAAACTAGCTCACACAGGCTGGACAGCACTTATGACTTGGCATGTCATAAAACTACAGCATTTTTAATTCAAAGAAAACAAGCCAAAACAATACTTATTTGTAAAAATATTTGTATTTGTTGATTTATTCGACCTTACTTGATGTTCATTATTTAACTTCACAGCGAGATTAAAAAATACAGCCAAACTATTCATAAATGTTAGAATATAATTTCATATAATTCACTATTTTCATATAATCCTAAGTAATCTACTATAAGCAATGAAAGTGAAGAGTAGCTGAAGCATTTTAAAGAAGAGACACTAAGAACACCAAAAGTGAGAACCAGCAATATTTAGGAATAAAAATATCTATACAAATCTACTTTCTAGATGAGCAGTTTTTGAATGTGTTTTAGAACATGCATAGGTAAGCCTATAGATTTCAAATTATATATTCACAAATATATATTATATATATAATTATATATATAATATATAATTATATATTAAGTCATTTTTCTAGGATCCTAGAATGTGACAAGACAGAAAAACAAAAGGAAACAGCAGTACATTATAATAAATATCTAGTAATACAAAGCTCAAGCTACTTCACAGCCCACCATTATCCTTAATTATGCCAACAGTTAATAAGAAAAGTATTTTGTTTTCAATATTACATATCTGTGGGAAAGTCATAAAGCTGAATACAATGACGAGTCTAGATAATTCTCAAAACCTGGCTTTCATGTAACCTCAGAGCTCCTCTTTTCTTGAAAATAAAAAAAATGACCACAGTTATTTTTATAATAAGGAATTATGTAGAGAAGGATCTGTTGAAGATGTTATCCAAGTGGTTAGAAAATAGCTCTTTGTGAGAGTTTTAAGGGGCAGTGAAAAGAAAGGATAAAGCTATTTTCTGCTTATAAGTAATGAAGTCTGGGATTTTGACATGGATAATTATACTAATGAGTATCAACATGTTATCTTCAGCCCCCAACTCATTTAAGACTCACATTTCCAGCTTCCTATTGAGTATCTTCACCTGTTAGTCAGGCACCAGGTTATTTTCAGGCATCTTAACCAAGCATACTCAAAACCAAATTTGTACCTATCAAGCATGTTTAACTAGGGTTAAATCCTAGGAATTAAAGATAAAGCTGAGGCTTTAGTTTTGAGCCCAATATCAAAATGTAATCCTTGATAGAAATGGATAGGTGAGGTAGGTGAGGGAGATGAGGGAGTCAAAGGCTGGAAACCAGACTAATCTTTGTAAGTACTAGGATTCAGCAAAGCTAAAAGCCATTCGTTCATTTCAGTCTTGTTTTTCTTCTTTCAATATTTTATCCCTGTGGTTACATAGAACTAGAGTTATTTGTTCAACACATTGTTAAGATATCATCATAATTCACTATTTTTCATTTGATTGTTCAAACATCCTTACAGTTTTTAAATAGAAGGGATTGCATTATAACCTTGCTGCTCTGCTTTAGTACTTATTCAACTCTTCAGATTGTTGAAGAATGAAGTATTACATAAATGCTCAATAAGATTAAACAGTCAGTATGGACTGAGGAGCTGAACACATCTATGTTTAGAAATTGAATGAGGACTGCATCAAGAGAAGATTGTCTACTTCATTCTAGTTGACAGCTCTAGCAAATAAGCTTTTCTCATGTAGATATTGTAAAAGAAAGCTATAAGAGTTATTATAAAAAACAATTACATTTGTGTTCCAATAATAAGCAGAATCATTGCATTTTGTAGACAATACTTTTACCACTTTCCCTTCTCAGAATTCAGGCCTGTCCTCGGAATGCGACAAGGTACAGCCCATTTGAGCTCCTGTATAGACGCTCCTTTTTATTAGGCCCCAGTCTCATTCTAGACACCAGACCAACTTGGACTGTGCCCCAAAAAACTTGTCATCCCTACTATCTTCTGTCTAGTCATACTCCTATTCACCATTCTCAACTACTCATACATGCCCTGCTCTTGTTTACACTGCCAGTTTACACTGTTTCTCCAAGCCATCACAGCTGATATCTCCTGGTGCTATCCCCAAACCGCCACTCTTAACTCTTAAATAAATAATCTTTGCTGGCAAGGCTATGCTGGTTAGAATTTAGTCAATGGATTGGACATGAAGAAGGTCAAAGGCTAGAAGTGAAATTTCTTCAGGAGGCGGGACAAAGTACTTGATGAATTAAAGGTCAGACTCATGAGAAAAGTAGAAGTCAGAACTGATTTGAGATGGCTATCATGTTAGGCTGGATGAATTATAATGTCCTTATTACTGAGAGAGAATATAGGAAAATAACCATCAAAATCTTTTGTCTAGACTTTTGAAATACCCCCTTATCCATCTTACTGTCTCCAATGTCATATTTTAGCTGCTCTACCTCCAGTTTCTCATTTGTAAAACAAATATGATTACTGCATCCTCCTTTGTCTATGCACATTGCACATGATCTTTCCTAAAATAGAAACATTTCTTCTGCTAGAGAACTCTTGCGATCATTCAAGAACTCATCAGTTTCTGTGTCATAGCAGGATAAGTCCCCAACTCTTTTTCTTGATCCCATCACTTTGTATGAACATGAATTACAACATCCAACAACCAGGCATTTGGACAATAAAAAATGAATTGTGATTATGCGCCCCCTCCTCCCTCCAGAGGCTGAGTCCTTTAAGTGTAGGGGCATTTTTCAGTCATTTTTTATTGTCCAAATGCCTGGTTGTTGGATGAATTATCCCAATGACGGGCTACCATAGGTGGTGCTAGACATTCTTACTCTACATTTGACTCAAACTAGGGTTAAATCCTAGGAATTAAAGGCAGAGGTTGCAGTGAGCCAAGATCGTGCCACTGCACTACAGCCTTGGTGACAGAGCGAGATTCTGTCTCAAAAAAAAAAAAAAAAAAAAAGATACTACCTATGACTGGGTAATGTATAAAGGAAAGATTTAATTGACTCACAGTTCCGCATGGCTGGGAGGCCTCAGGAAACTTACAATGGAGGTGAAGGGGAAGCAAGGCACATCTTCAAAAGATGGCAGGAGAGAGAGAGCACAGGGGAAACTGACACTTTTAAATCATCATGGGGGAAATGGCCCCCACGATCCAATCACCTCCCACCAGGTACCTCCCTGGACACGTGGAGATTACAGTTCAAGATGAGATATGGGTGGGGACACAGCCAAACCATAGCACCCTGATTAAACAATTAGCCCCCAAACTAGGGATCATGTAGCAATATAATTCCTGATGTGTGATTAATTTATCATCTCTATGAATTTTTGTCATAATTTAGAAATTTCCTTTTCTGGTAAAAATTCAACATGTATTTGTGATTTGAACAAAAGGAATATGTAGATTATGAATAAAAGGAAAATATCTTTATTTTTTATATTTATTTATTTATTTATTTAAGACAGGGTATCCCTCTGTCACGTGGCAGGATCATGGCTCACTGTACCCATAACTTCCCAGGATGAAGCGAGTCTCCTGCTTAGCTTCTGGAGTAGCTGGGACTACCGGCGTGTGCTAAGTTTTGTATTTTTTTTTTGTAGAGACAAGGTATCATTATGTTGCCCAGGCTAGTCCTGAGTTGCTGGGCTCAAGCAGTCTGCCTGCCTCAGCCTCCCACAGACATGAGCCACTGTGCCTGGCCCAAAATTTCTTATTTTTTTTAGAATTTTTAAATTGACAAATGAAACTGTTTAAATTGACAAATGAAACAACAAGTTGTTTTGAAGTCTGTATACACTATGGAAAGACTAAGTATAGCTAATTAACATGCATTACCTCTCATAATTATGACTTTTGTGATGCAAAGATTTTATATCCACTCTCAGCATTTTTCAAGAATATAATTTATTGTTAGCTATGGTCACCATGTGGTATGATAGATCTCTTGAATTGAACCCTTTTCCCTAGCTAAAATTTTGTATCCTTTGACCAGCATCTCTCCCCTGCCCCCCAGCCAACCACCCCAACACCTGGTAACTATCATTCTACTTTCCAATCTATACTAATGTCCTAACAGATAGGATATCTCCCAATGATATATGATGGCAACAGTGATTGATGCATGGAGCAAAATGCAGGGCACTCTACCTTGAAAATGGTACTGTAATGCTATAGATGTAGAGTTAGTTAACAATTGTAACCTAAACAGATATATATCCTTAACACCAATAATTTCACTTCTACACATAAGCCATTTGAGAAAGGAGATTCTGTCTCCATGTCTCCCAAAATGCCTACCACAGTGGTAAAAAAGATAAATATGTAATAACTGGTTATCTGTTAAAATTGAGTAAAATTTTTGAGGAGGCACAGACAGGAACCTACTTCTTTCTTGGGTATTGCAATTTTCTCTTCCCACCATTTTCTATTACTGTAATCATAGTCATCTTTATTACTTGCTTAGAATATGTGACTGTTATGTTATCATTGCAGAGACCTTTTCCTTATTACCAATCTTCTTTTAAAGCATTACATGGAGGAACATGAACAGTCTGAGCATTCAAAGTTCAAGATTTCAAGACAATCAGTTCTGTTTGCCTGATCTACAGGATGAAGGTAACAATAAGAGAAAGTGATCATAATAGTCAATATTTAATACATATTTAATATATATATTTTTAGATTTAACAACTGGTTAAATCTATTAACCATATATCATCTAACCATTTCTATACCTTCCTATCACTCTTCTTTTCCTATTCTCTCTTAATTCCAATTTTCCTACAACACACACACTCATATACACATACGCACACATGCACCCACTATCCATAAGACCATCACGTCTGGGGATTTTGCACATACAGAGCCTAATAAAATTCAGCAACAAAGATCATTCAAATTCATAACTCAAAAATTATCAGGTACAGAAATACATGAACTGAGGTGAAGAAAAGCCAAAATACTGGGAGAAGTAGAATATCTTTCACAAAAGACCTTCTAGGAAGATCATATGGTACTGTTCTGCAAATCTTTCCTTTTACAACATTGAATGTTTTAATGTGAGCTTTGCAGATTCAGTTTCAAATCTTATCACTAATCCTGCCCTTAAGCAAAGCTGTAAAGAAGGTGAAATTAATTTTATACATTTCCTATTCTGCATTCTGTCATCCTCATCTTCCTTTGAGGGTCTAACAACTTCCTACCACTTTCTGCTTGTGCCCATTACAACCCAGATTTTCATCTTTTGTACCTGGAACAGGCCTGGCCTTCCACAATGCTCTATGTGCTATGAAAGTCAGTTTCTGCTATTATCATTGTGTTCTATTATTTCATGTATTTTCTAATAGCCTTAAAGATTACTTTGAATAGGCCTGGAATCTCTAACACAATTAAATACTATAGCAGGCATATAGTATTACCAAGGAAAGTAAAGCAAGATATAGAACAAATTGAATGATGAAAACTGAGACAAACTGGAGACAGGGACCATGTCCAAAATGGACATCCATTATTCAACTGTAGCCTCATGTTATCATGTGGGAATGAAGGCCTAGTGTTGTAAGATTTTAGATTTTTCAAGAGGAGCCAGAAATTTGTACCTTCATACAAAAATTTCAATATTTGTAAAACACCATAAAAGTGAAAAAAATACCTACAAATCAGAATTTAGACTATGTTGACATTAACTTGCTACCTCTGTGATAAGCGATTTTAGAATAAGATTTTATTCTTGCTTAATTCTTCTCTTCAGAGATACCTAGTGTAGTAGGAGAATCTAACACTTAAAAACAGGTCAGGTATGGTGTCTCACACCTATAATCCCAGCACTTTTGGAGGACAAGGTGGGTGGATTGCTTGAGCCTAGGAGTTTGAGAGCAGCCTGGGCAACAGAATGAGACCCTGTCTCTACAAAAAATACAGAAATTAGTCAGCTGTAGTGGCCTACGCCTGTACTCCCAGCCATTTAGGATGCTGAGGTGGGAGAACACTTGAGCCCAGGAGGTCAAGTCTGCAGTGAGCCATGATCATGCTACTGCACTCCAGGCTGGGCAAGAGAGCAAGATCCTGTCTCATATAATAATAATAATAGTAATAATAATAACAATTTTGTGATGGGTGATAAATATCATAGGGGCAAAATGTCATGGGAGCACAGAGATGGGAGAGGGGACTTTCATAAGCCTAGAATGTTCTCAAGGAGTATGTCTCAGAGAATATGAATCTCAAATGAAAGTAGGCCTTTACCAGAGAGAGAGAAAATAAAGAGTATTCCAGAGAGTTGTGTGTGGGAAGATGCAGACATAAGAAACAGCAGCATTTACTTGGGGAAAAAATAGTTTAGGTTCTGTTCCCAGATAAGTGGAATTATATCAGATACAGTTTTTAAGGAGAGTCTATTTGGGGCAGGAGGGCCTCTTGAGTTCTTATTAATAGTTTTAAAATGTGAACACACCTTACTGCACATTAAGCACATGTACCCCAGAACTTAAAGTATAATAAAAAAAAATTTTAAAAAAAGAAAAAAAATGTGAACACACCTCTATTTCTCTCTCCAGGTAATTTTAACATGACCTTGCTACTCCCTTGGATGAAAGGATCATCACGAAGTTTTACAACAAACTTTATGGTTATGGAAGTTCTATATTTACATTTGGAAGATGACAAAGTTGCCAGTAGCAGATATTTTAATTAAAAATATTTTCCTTACTGTTCCAATATCTCTAATGTTTTTAAAAGTAGATTTATCTTACTTACAGGTTCATATGAGATAATTGAAAACATGGTGATCTCAGATACAGCAGCACACATGTGAGGAAACGTAGTAGTCAGTCACATTGGAATACCTTCAAAATCTTCAGTAAAATATGGGTGACGTTGACGAATAGTTCATTCTCCCTATGGAGCTGTCCACAGAGGCTAAAAATAGCTATAAATAGAAGAATCCAGATAAAATCATGTTGTATCATGTGTCATATCAATAGTAATATATACAAATGAAAAATATTGTGAAAATAGTAGAGGTAGAGGCCAGATATGTTAATAAAGGGGTTTAGAGATAAAAGCATGGATAAATAAATATGGCATAGGTATTTTGAGCCAGGCTTTTCAATGATCATAACATATTCTATATTTATATAGTCACATATTTTTGCATATATACAACCTATTCACATTCAAAGAAGTTGTTGCAAGAGTGTACAAAAATGTCACTAAGAAAAACAAGATTTATCAGGTAATTGCAGTGTTCGCCATTACTTTTAATTACTTCTAATGGCAAGCACTGCAATCCCTTTTGCACCAACCTAATATGTGGCCTCAGGTAATATGCCTGTAATTAGCTTGTTGGTTTTATTTGAAAACAACTATTGTGTAGCAATTGGAAAGTCATTAGCAGGACTCTTTTGCCACATTCATTTTATGCAGGATAACCTTGAGTCCACTCTGTTATATACCTATTTGCAAGAAAAGTCAGTTTAGTTCATCTGTTTCTTTTACCCTGTTCCCCCACCATGTTCTTATTTTATGAATGTATTTTGAGTGTGTTTAATTAACCTGTAGATTTCTATTTTGTGTGGATTTTTTTCATGGCATTTTCAGCTGATACGTTGATTAAATTTATTCATATTCTTAACCAAATCCAAGCATGCTGATCAATATTTTCTGAACAGAATTCAGTGTGAAACACCAGATAAGAGGAGCAAATGCACACTCATTGATGTTTCTCTGCAGTGAAAATTATTTTAAGATGTGGAATGATTTGGGTATGTGGATGTGTGTCTCTTGAGATATGATGGTATAATCAATATGTCCCACTGAAGACAAAGTCCTAAGGCTAAATGGTTTCAGCTGGGCTGTGAAGGAAAGCAAGTGAGAGTATCATTATTTTGAGGAAAATATATGTGATTTTATCTAGATAATGACAGTTTGCACTGTAGCAACATTCCTAGATGAAATCTCTGTACACCAGAGGTTTCATCTAAAACTTCATCTTTACTTATATACTTAGGTGAGGGTGAGGCAAGGGTTAGGTGGCCCACTAGAAAGAAACTTCTGTGAGATTCTTCATTATGCATCTATTATTCTAGGATTGTCTCACTTGTTGAGTTCCATAGTTTTTATTTATTCATAAATGTCAGGAACAGGAACAACAAAGCCAGATTCAAAGAGCCTAACAAGGAAGAAGATAAAACAGCAAAAGTTGAAAATGAAATGTAGATGATGACACATAAAATTAAGGCATCACTGATTCATTTTAAAAATAATTTTTAAAAAGTCTTTCTTTTGTGAAAATCCAAAGAAAAAGCTCCCGGATAGAGTAGGGGGAAGAAAATGGCATTTTCTTGGTATCCTTCATCTCAGCCAAGAAAAAAATCTTATGTTAAAAATGAGTGGTTGCATTAAAAACTTTTTTTTTCTGAGTCTTTAATATCATCAGAATAAATTATCCTTCTGTATCAAATTCAAATGAAATTTATTTGGAGCATTTAATGTAGGTGATATGGCTTGGCTCTGTGTCCCTATGCAAATCTCATGTTGAATTGTAACTCCCAGTTTTGGGGAGGAACCCAGAGGTAGGAGGTGATTAGATCATGGGGGTGGATTTCCCCCATGCTGTTCTCATGATAGTGAGTTCTCACAAGATCTGATGGTTTAAAAATATGTGGTACTTTCTCTTTCTCTCTCTCTCTCTCTCACTACGATGTGAAGAAGGTGCTTGTTTCCCCTTTGCCTTCCACCATGATTCTAAGTTTCCCGAGGTCTCGCAGTCATGCTTCCTGTTAAGCCTGTGGAATTGTGAGTCAATTAAACTTCTCTTCTTCATAAACAGTCTTAGGTAATTCTTTATAGCAATCTGAGAATGAACTAATACAGTAGGACTATCACTTTAAAATACATAAGAGACAGAGAATTATGTAGTTTGAACTAATTTTTGCAGATGTGAGGTGTTCTTTCCTCTTTTAATTACTAGACAAAACATTTGAATGACTCCTAAATGTATTCAGATGGATGAAATCACTTTTCCACCAACCCATCCCCAAGGCCATCATGAACTACCAGTTAAGAAAATCAAATTCTGTGGATTTCTATTCTTTTAGCTTTTTAATTCTATAATTTATACTCTAGTCCAGTATTTGCAGCTTTTTGGGTTGTGTATATTTTGGGGGCAATTTTACTTACGGATAAGGAAATGGAGGCATGAGAACTTTATCAATTATTCTAATTTTAAAGTGCAAGTTGCATTGTAAACAGATCTCAAAGTACTGTGTGAAGTAGATTGGAGTCACAAGTAGTACTATTAAAATTGTGAATAGCCTGATATTGCAGCTGCAGTTGAAGGTTGAACAAGTAATTGTGAATGTGATATAAAATGAGACTGATCAGCTAATAACCAGAGTCATTGTTTTAAGTTCAATGTCAAAGTCACTTCAGACATGTAGCACAATCTTTTGAACAGACTTGAGTGTGTAATAAGTGGAATAAATGTTTACCTAATAATTTACCTCCGCAATGTAAGTTATTCTAAGGTATGAAATGTTCCTTGAGCATTTACATGTTCTCCGAGGTTGTGATGGAATAATTTATTGATTCTGTTGAAGATCAATTGCTAAAGCTGCATAATTTCAGCTAGAAATGAAGGAAAGGAAGAAGCAATTGCATCATGCTTAGAAAGGCAAATGTGAGTTACATTGAGTAATAATGGCTTACACATTCCAATGAAACCTCTGTGGCCCAGCATCTCCTAAAGTAAATAAATGCCTTGAAGAAAGTAAGATATAAACCTAAATGGCCTGCTAAGCAAGCTCTGATCTAAGGCCTTTCATTTTGTATATCTATTATCCCAGGCATGTATCTTACTAACAGGACTGTAAGTATTGATTTATGCATAAGGTGTCAGACATAGGAGCTCACATCTTTGGTCTGAATATGGTTTTTAATAGTGTATCTATCATGGCAGCTTTTTAAATTTAAGTTCCTTCAGGATATAGAAAACCTTTGAAGAAAAAAAAAGTGACACGTGGAGAAATTGTTTTCTTCTCATTTCCAAGGATTGACATTTCTTTCTTTCTTTCTTTCCTTCCTTCCTTCCATCTTCCTTCCTTTCTTTCTTTTTGCTTTTTTTTTTTTTTGGATGCAGATTCTCACTCTGTCACCCAGGCTGGAGTGCAGTGGTATGATCATAGCTCTCCACAGCCTTGACCTCCTGGGTTCAAGGAATCATTCCCACCTCAACCTCCAGAGTAGCTGGGACCACAGGCACATGCTACCATGCCCAGATTGCCATTTTTTAATGCAATATTTATAAAAAGTGTTTTCCAAGTCTATAATCTATGTGATATAAATGGCATTTATTCACTTTATAATCCACAAATATCATTTTTTCTCATTTGAGAAAATCGATAATTATGAACATTGTGGCCAAATAATTGGCACCATGCTATTTACATTTGCTGTCTCTAAGTTTTATTACCTATTTTTATTTATTGATCCTGATTATTTTATTTAATGATTCTTCTATACTTAATGAGATGCCTTCTAGTTCTAATATTCTAGATCTGGATAAACAAATATTAATCATATTCACATCTTTTATAATTTTATAAACTTTGATTCTTCCAACCCTACATTCACCCTTACCTCTAAGTTTTTGTCTCTTTAAATCACATATCTTAAAAAGCCCATTCATCTTTGTATGGTTGTTCTTTTCTGGATCAGTTTCTATACTGTTATTTCTTTCTTAAGGTATGGCATACAGAACTGCATTCAGTACATTAATTTCAATAAATTATATTTTACTCAAGGATAAGAATAAACTTACTAGCTAATTTTCCTTTTAACTACATTCTCAATAATAAGCCTTATTGTTCTGTTGGCCTCATGTTTTTCAGAAAATATTCTTAGGAATGATTCTACAAGATGAATGCATTTTCCTCGCAGTATAGAAAGTATGTATGTGGGTATTGTGTGTGTGTGTAATTTTTATTTTTCAAATGCATTATTATACTAGTTCATTCAGATACTTAGCTTCTACTCATATGCCAATTTATACGTAAGACTCAGTTGTAGCCTATACTCCTCCACCAGACATTTCACTTTCTTTAAATATTTAGTGCTATTTGAAAGTCATGAAGTTTCCCTGCTGACTTTCTTTCATAGTGAAGTTGTTCAGGTAGGTCTTGGCAGGCCACCAAGTAGGTTAAATCTTATGTATTAGTCAGGGTTCTCCAGAGAAACAAAACCAATTGAATATATAGAAAGAAAGAGTGATTTATGGTAAGGAATTGGCTCACATGATTATAGATGTTGGCAAACCCAAAATCTGCAGAGCCAATGTCCCAGTTGGTGACTGAAATTGGAAAGCTGCTGTAGAACCAGGAAGAGCTGATGTTCCAGTTTGAGGACCATCAGGCAGGAGAATTCTCTCACTCAAGAAATTGTCAGCCTTTTCTTCTATGTAGGCCTTCAACTGATTGGATGAGGCCCACCCACACTATGGAGGGCAATCTGCTTTACTCTAATGACTTAAATGTTAATCTCATTTAAAAATACTCTCACAGAACCACCCAGAATAATGTTTGTCCAACTATCTGGGCACCTGTGGCCACTGTCACATCATGGTATCTGTTTCTCATTTTTGAAAGGAGCCTATCTCTCCCTAGCCTTTGTTTTTCTGTCTATGAGTCATTCCCTCTTTAAAGAATTTGTTCTTCCCACTTCATACTGATCAACTGCTTTTAATACCCTTAATTACATAATTTTGTATAATTTAAATTCTGAATAAATTGTATTAACTGTTTCTCATATAAATAATCTGTCAAATAATTCTAAAGTTAATAGAAACAATTTCCCTTGAAAGAATATCATATTGCCTTTCCACTAAATTTCTATGCATATTTAAGTGTAAAATAATCTTGCCTTTTATTGTAATTCCAGACAGTCAGATATGGTAGTGTATTTTAACAGTTTGTACTTTTCAGGGTCTTTTCTGGGTGCAAATCACATTAGCTATGAGCTTGTTCCAGTTGTTCAGCAGAATATGGATTTGGATGTTGTTTCTTGACAAATGAGCTGAATAATTACTTACTTTAGCCATGATATTGTTTATATTTAAATTCTAGATTGCTATTAGATCTGGAACAGTGATTCCTAAACAAACCAATCATCAAAATCACATGGAAACTTATGAAAAATACAATTGTAGGCCCCCAGATCCATAATTTTAAAATTTTACTTTTCTAATTCTAAGCCATTGATGAAGAGAATATTTGGATTTACAAAGTATTTTTATTAATTATCTGTTTTTTTATTTTTTACAATTATGTATAGCTAAATATTTAGCTAACTTTTTCATAATAAAAATCAAAATAAAGAATCCATTTATTCTATTTGTTGAATTCTATTTCAAAGGTCAGCTTTTCAACTACCATCATTGTATAGTCCTGGTGATTCTTAAGCTGGCATCCTACTATTTATTTATTTATTTATTTATTTAAAGATAGCGTTTCACTCTTCTTACCCAGGCTGGTGTGCAATGGCGTGATCTCGGCTCACTGCAACCTCTGCCTCCCGGGTTCAAGAGAGTCTCCTGCCTCAGCCTCCTGAGTAGCTAAGATTACAGGCATGCACCACCACACCCAGCTAGTTTTGTATTTTTAGTAGAGACAGGGTTTCTCCATGTTGGTCAGGTTGGTCTCGAACTCCTGACCTCAGGTGATCTGCCTGCCTCGGCCTCCCAAAGTTCTGGGATTACAGGCATGAGCCTTCACGTCTGGCTGTTGATTTTTTTTTTTTTAAAGCTTTTATTATTTTCTTTGGAATATAAAGCACAGTATTCCTTAAAGTCTTTTTTTTTTAGCTAGTCTTATGGGGTTTTTTGCACCTGATTTACCTTACTTAATAGATTTTCTCGTTTTGTCCCCTTTACCAATTGTACCTTTAAAAAATGCCATCTCCTTTTCCTCACCCACAATGACCTCTTTTGCTTTGCCAGTTAGCCATACAGGGTTTTTGTTTGAGCACCTGGGTTTCTTGATCCTTGGCACGTATTTTCCCTGGGCTTCTAATAAGGTGTTTTAAACAGTTTCCAGGTTTCTGGTAGATTATTTGCTTTTTTTTTTTTCCAACTCCCTTGCATTTTATTCTAATATTCACATTTTGATGTAGGTCTCTTTTCCAAAAGTGAGTTAGCATGTGTTCTATGTTTCTTGGCTTTTCCACCCTCAGTAGAAAGTGAAACTTAATCATATACTAATCACTAATATATAATGATTTGTATAATTCGTGATTCACTTCCTGTCTTTTATGCAGAACTTAGTGTACTTCCTTTCCATGTGAATTCTAAAATTACTTAATCTAAGAAGCAGTTATTTATTCTCCCAAAAATGTATTCCTCATACCTATCCTTAATGAGAAAAATCCATGAATCCAGATGTGAATAATTAAAATTCTATTTGATTACCATCTGTACTGATTTCAAGTATTCACACCTAGTGTCAATATTCTTAGCATATATATTATATTATGTGTATAGCGTATTATATATACTAGCATGCATACAAGTAGCATATTATATATGCTAAGAATTATATATAATACATATATAATATGTATTTGGGCATAAGGTAAAGAGGATTGAAGTAATCATAAATCAGTGCATAACACATTATTTTTATTAGCTTCTCTCTTGATTGACTGATTAATTGATCAATTATCTTCCTGCCATAGTTCTCTGTTTTCTCCCTCTAGACATGCAATGATGCTAAGAAATTTAACACATCGTTTTGCTTATTTGTGTTCTTGCAAAATGTGCATTGTTGTTTTATTTGTATTTTGCTGCTTATTGTACTTGGTATATTTGTAAAAAGTATTTTGATAGATATTTCCCACTGTTCCTTATGTTTAAATCAGTGCTCTGTTTCTGTATAGTGCTATGAGTCTATCTAACCTTTTGTTTCTAACTGCTGTATAGTACTCTGTGGTGGACATCCATGACTTTTCCTTTATTTTCTCTTTTAGTGATGGTGACTCAAAGTGCCTCCAACTCTCCTATATTATTTAGCCCTGGTTTATGGCACCATCCACCACTGATTTCTTGATTGCAATTAATTTAGGAAAGACTAATTCTCCTCCAAGTGATTTCATAGTAAAATCTTTATTTAGATGAGTACTTCTGAACCTTGGCACTTTTAACATGTATTGTAGGATATTTAGCAGCATCCGTAGCTCCACTCACTATATGCCAATAGCACCATATTTGTGAAAATTGAAACAAAAACAAACAAACAAACAAAAACCTCTCCAGACATTGTCAAATGTCTCCTGGGGGAGCAGAATCAGTCATTGATTAGATCAATTGATACAGATCTTCTAAATTTTTATTTAGATGCTACTTTTGTTAAATCTGATATATTCTCAGGTATCTATTACCACTTGTGACTCAGTGGCACTATATCTTGGCTTCTTTTTCTACTCATCTGTTGTTTTTCCAAGATGTCAATTACAGAATTTTACTCATTTCTTGACAAGCATTTTATTGAGGAATAGAATCTATCTGCTTGCTTGATTGGATTTTTACATAATCATTGGGGAAGAAAATCCTGGCTTCTTTGCCAAGACACTTTTGACATTTTTCAGTGACTAACTCCTTGTATGATTTTTGTTTTTGTTTTTCTTTTTTTTTTTTTTTTGACAGGATTTTGCTCTGTCACCCAGGCTGGAGTGCATGGCATGATCAAAGCTCACTGCAGCCTCCACCTCCTGGGCTCACACTATCTTTCCACTTCAGCCTCCCAAGTAGATGGGACCACAGGTGTGCCACTATGCCTGGCTAATTTTTCTATTTTTTATAGAGATGGGGTTTCACCATGTTACCCAGGCTGGTCTCAAACAGCTGGGCTCAAGCAATCTGCCTGCCTCAGCCTTCTAAAGTGCTAGGATTAAAGGTATAAGCCACCATTCCTGGCCCCTGTATGTTCTTTACATATAATGATGTTCTTTTTTACTTAATACACACAAGGCAGACTTGAGGTTGAACAGAAATGTCAGCACTTATCTTTAATTACTTAATTTCAAATTTGCAAGGAAACGATCCCATGATTTTTGTCATACCCTGATTTTAATTATAACCTGAGTTATCCAATTATTTCACAGATTTGATTTTAGGCTCCTGTCTGTATTAAAAATGAAGCTTCACCAAAAGGTCCAAGATCTCATTACTCAATTAAGTAGTAGATTCATTACCCAAAGAATCCAACTATCAGCAGCTATCTTCTTTTTAATTACTATCAAATATGAACAAGAAAATTACATATTTAGAGCCTGAATTAACATTTCATTTCAATGACTCCTAAAAATATATGAAATGTTATGTTGAACTTCCAATTCAAATGGTCTGAAATCATGCAAGCAGCATATTTTTAAAAGTTTAAATTAGTGACAAGGTTAAAACTCTCAGCAAAGGGTTGAGAGTCAAAATATTTGAGTTTAATAACTGATTTGTCCCTATTCGTTTTGCTTTAAAGTCTCTAAATTTTGTTTTTTCAACTGAGAAATGGCAAAATTATTTTAAGATAAAATTAAATTAAAGTCCATTAAACTCAAAGATGCTATCAAATAGATGGGATCATTTAATTCTTTACCGAAATTTTAACAAAATTTTGACTCTGTCATGTATGAGACCTTATTTGTAGTGGCAGGAAATTATCTAGAGAAATTCATCTGGACTCCATGAAGCTACCAACATCATCTGGTATTGGTTACATACTCATCTTTGATGCTCCCACCCCTCTATTTCTGCTGTGACATCATAACTCACCATTTCCAATTTGTCATTTGTTTTTCCTCCCTATCTTATCCATCTATTCTTGGCCAATACAAAAGATCTGCTTACTTCTTATTTTTGGTCCAACATTCCTCCAACCTGTCCCCAACCCAACTCTGGCTCACAAATATTTCTCACTAAATATTCCATTAATGGACCTAGTCATAATCCCTAAACTGGTGTTCTTATACATGGAACTCAAGAATATATATTGCCCGTAAAGATCCAGCTTATAGATATTCATCAAAAGAGCAGAAACAAGTCCAGATAGTATTGGATTCTGAGGTCATGCAATGCCCCTAATGAATAGTCTCCATCAGCTTCCCATTTAACTGAGAATAGAATTCAGTATTCCTACAAACACATCCAAACATGATTTGACATATCTATACCATCTGACTTCATCTGCTGCAGCTGTACCCCAGCACATTCTACTTCATCCACACTGATTTTGTTTCTCATCATTGAATAATACAAAATAGACCTTGCAGAGTTGTTTTTCCTTCCGCTTGGAATACGCTCCTTTCATAGTAAATGCCTAATAAGTATTTATTGAATGAATGAATGTTTCATACCTCTCACTTACCTCTGTTGCCATTTGTAAGGGCTAAGGATGAAAGCCAGTGTTCTATTATGTGACTTACAAGGCCATCTCATCTAAATGCTATGTCTATTCCCAGTTACTCATTGGTGGTTATCCACTGAACTACTTCCCTCCAAAAATAAATGCATAACTATGTATCAAGTGAATATTTTCATAAACCTAAAAGGTCAGTATGTAATAATATATTTTACAATATTTTAGAATAGATCACGTGAACTTAAAATATGCATGTTTTGTACCTAATCTGTTTTCCAGCTATACAAATCATAAAAAGAAATTATTATGTTAATAACATTAAAAATCTGTAACCAACTTATTTTGCTATTAGTTATGTGAAAGTTTTTTTTTTTTTTTTTTTTTTTTTTTTGAGACAGAGTCTCGCTCTGTCACCCAGGCTGGAGTGCAGTGGCATGATCTCGGCTCACTGCAAGCTCCACCTGCCGGGTTCACGCCATTCTCCTGCCTCAGCCTTCCGAGTAGCTGGGACTACAGGCACCCACCACCATGCCCAGCTAATTTTTTGTATTTTTAGTAGAGACGGGGTTTCACCGTATTAGCCAGGATGGTCTCGATCTCCTGACCTTGTGATCTGCCCGCCTTGGCCTCCCAAAGTGCTGGGATTACAGGCATTAGCCACCGTGCCCAGCCATGAAAGTTTTTTAACATGTTTATTAATTTATAAAATATAAATGAATTTGTATGGAAAATGGGTAAAGTAAAAAGAAATCAAAATGTTTATAACATTCAAAATTGAAATCTGTGATACATAATTTTTTAATGATTACAGGAAACTGGCAGACCCATGAAAAGTGGGTTAAATTATTGTTTGGATTGATTCTCTTTATTCATGCTGAACTTCGCTAATACTATCTAACATGAGGAAGCTGCGAGCTTAATCTTTGCCATAATCAGAAAATATAATAGTGATAATGCACTGCAGGCTCGCACAGTGCTGTGTAATGTTTCCAGCCAGCTGCAATCTCTCTCTGGCAACCAGATATGCAGAGCCACATCTCCTGGGGGATGAAGGAGAGACAATGCATTTATACATTCAAGTGAGTGTGTATCCAATTTGAACATTCGCATTGACGAGAAAGACCTGTATTTTATGATCATTTTTTCTTTTGTTTCCATTTCTGCATAAAATGCTTTTTAAACAACAGTAGGAGGAGGTAATTAATATCTGTTATATAAACTACCTAAATGAAGAACACCAGCACTTACATGTTAACAGCCCATTGGTGTTGAGTCATAAAAACATCTAAATCTCAATTCTGCCATTTACAGCAAAGCTTGGGCAAGTTTCTTCATTGTTCATAATTTAGTTCATGTCAGTAAAATGGTGGTAGGTGATGTTTAACTTATAGGTCTAATCAGAAAGATTACAGTTTAAATGGCTTGCAGAGTTGTTGGCCCATTGAGCACTCAGAAAGTTTAGGCCTTGAAAAAACCACACCATCAATTATCCAACTAATGATAGATTCAAAGCCGTGTGGGCAGCACTCCATTGAAGAATTTTTATGGGTGTTATGGTTAGGAACCATGTCTTGATTCACTTTATGTGATTAGGATCTTGCTCTGTGCCTGGCTCATGTGTGATTAGGATTGTGCTCTTTGCCTCTCATAATATGCGCTCATTAAATGTTGATTGCTGTTGAATGATACTCAGCTGTTCAAAGTGAATACGGAGAACTGAGGGTAGGGAAGAAAGGGGAAGGTGGGTCATCTCCCTTTGTTTACCTTTCTACCAAAGAGTTTGCTGATTCTTTTTATCCTAATGATTTGAGTGTTCTCTCATCAACACTTAGTTTCTCAACAGCTTTGAGTTTAGCAATCTGAACCTTCCCCTTGTCTTCTACTGGCCAAACTCTGGGTTATTTTTCAATCCCCTGGGTTAAGTCCTGGGTGATTACCACAGCATCCCTTTCCTCTAGATCTTGCTGCTCTACAAAGCCATACAGAGCCCTTCAGATGTTCAAACACAGAAATGGTTTCATAATAATTTATTTGTAACAGAACTCTGTTGTTTGCTTTTCTGAGATCTGCTCACTCAGGAAGCAAGATTCCTTAGGGCAAAATCTCTGTGCAAGGCACAAGGTGAGAGGCTCAGAACATATTGCACCGATTTAAATAAAAAAAACCTCTCCTTGGCCTGTGTGTCTGGCTCCTCCGCTGACAGAGTCTTTCTCATAGGAGAAAGAAGAGAACCAGGAAAGGTGATCTTTCCTAAACACACTCTACCATCTTAGATATCTTTACAACAGGCTTTCAGAACTCTTGTGGGGGACATATTGCACTGCCCAATTTAATTGCCAGTGCTTACTGGCAGTATCTTACCAGGGCAGCTATGGTTCTGCCCACTGTCAATAAAATGCGCAGAGTTTCAGTGAAGCAAAATAAACAGGCTCTAGAGATCTGCTGTAACCACTGTCAACAATAATATACTGTACACTTAAAAATGTGTGAAAAGAATAGATCTCATGTTGCATTCTCACCACAATAAAATAAAATTTAAAAAAACACATATGTTTTTAAAAATAAATAATAAAAAATTGTGCCTTCTTCCCTACTAGTGTGGGAAGAAAGGAAGCTAGACTCTTAGAAGTAACAAAGGCAGGCATTGAATAAGATGAAATTACATTTTAATGTGGTGAAATCTAACAGCAAAATTTTGCGTGCAGGGAGGGGAGGGTGCAAGGGGGAAGGAAACGGTTTACCATTTCTGTCACTCTGGGGTTAAAATTAGTTTCAGTGATTCACTTGTTATTGCTGTGTACTGCAAAGGCTTTATTTAGCTTCCCATTGGGGGATTTAAGTCCTTTGTTCATTTAAAAACCAATAAGGAGAGAATATTAGTTCGTGAAAGAATAATATCCTTCGTATCATCTCTCAAGGACATTTTTTCTCGTTCTTCCAGAAACCTGGGGCTATTGCATTGATTTGCTTTTCCATCTACAGGCAAGTAGAGAACACTAGGAGAGCTTTGCTTACAGTATCATAGACGATTTCCCCTCATTTTCCAGTGTTGAAAATCAGAATATCCAGTTGTAAACAGGTTGTCATGGTTGTGTGTGTCTCTCTTTTCAGGTTGGGTTTCGAAGCGAGTCTGCTTTATAATTTGTTTCTGAAAATGCTCATTGACTTGAATGCCAGTTGGATTAAAGGGGAAAAAACTTATTTTATGATTTGTACAGCTGTTTCTGAGCCCAAATTCTTATAAAGGTACCCTGGTGGCATTTCCTTACCACAAGATTGACAGACTGGGGAAAGCTAAACATTTTCTTTTCTAAAGCATTAGTGAAAAATGGACCTATTTTCGGGATTGGCTTGTCCTTGGTAACAAGTTTAAAACCACTGAGTTGCATCATGACCATAAAGCAAAGAAGTTATTCCAATGTTTTAATTTCTAGCCAGTGTTTAAGCAGCTGCAACAGAAAATATAATTGCTCCTGACCTTCCATGTCATTCCCAGTAAACTGATTTTCCTGAGAAATTTCACAATGGTCATTTCCTCTTCATGTCCAAACAGATGTTTAGTGTTTTTAAGACCCTTTCTGTAAATGTCATATGGTACTTAAAGTATAATTTAGTGTGTACATGCTGTATGCTTTGGTGGTATTCTTTCATTTGAGAAAATATCAAAAATATCAGAGACTAGGAGGATAGGAAGTTTAGGTAGGATTTCTTGGGGGAAACCACATATGCACATGTTTCTTGAGGAGCTGACATCATTGAGATTTAGCAGTTGAAGTATCATTTAACCTAGCCTTTTTTTTTCATAATTTTTCTTGCATTCCTTAGTGGGTTTCATTACCATGTGAAGGCAAGCTCTGCAAAGATGAAGAGGCATCATCTGCTCCCCAGAGAGGGAAGGAGACTAATATAACGGAATTTCAGGGTGTGAGCAAGAGTGCAGACACACAAACCTCCTGTGGATTGTGGGAAACCAGACAGCTTTTTTTTTTTTTAATATTATTTAAACTCCAAATCTAAGGGGAGAAACACCGTGAGACTAACATGTTACAGTCCAAAAATAATTCCTTTTTCCAACAGAAAAAGGCTATGATATGTTTCTAATTGATAACATACTTGTACTTTTTTTCCCACAAACAAATCTTCTTTCTAAACCTGCTGGCTGTATTCTTATGGTCTTTGAACCCCACAATTTCTTCCCATTTCTGTCTAACTAAAGAACTTGTTGGTTAAAAGTTAGGTAAAAAAAAAAAAAAAAAAAAAAAAAAAAAAAAAAAAAAAAACCTTTAATTTCTTAAAATATTTAAACACAGGTTGGTTTCTTTTTTTTCTGTTTTCCTTTTAGATGAACTATTTAGTAATCTAAAACAATCATCTTATTATTATATGATTTAACTTTCCTGTTTATGCAATAGAAATTGTAAAATGCTAAATATAAATCTCTCAACAAAAATAAATTTTTCTCTTGCTCTCACTCCTAATGAGTGGTATGTTCAGATAGATCAGAGATGAAAAACAATAAGAGAAACCTGAAGTTGAATTTATTGGACATTTAGAACATTGTTGACCTAAGAGACATTAGAAATTGAGGTGGGGATATAGAGAACATTAAAAGAAAGAGAATTTACTGCTGAGAATAGGGAAAAGGGTGGGAAGTGGCTATAAAATAATGATTGCTGCTTTCCATAAACCACATAAAAAACCCATCTCATTACCATATAGACATGGGTATACACACAGTAAAACCTTTGTAATACTGCATTTTAGAGGAAATGAGTTGCCAGCTAATGTCAAGTTATGGTTAATAAAGACTTAGTTCATGTTATCTCAGGTGGTATCCTTCTTGTACCTCCCTTATTCTCCCGTTAAAGTCTTAGTTAGACCTAAGGCATAAAAGCTCAGTGGTTATAGAAGTAAATCATTATTATTTATTTAAAGAGAAAAGACTTTAGTACAGCAGGGATCTACCTTCTCACTATTCATCAAAATGGTTACATGACAAAATGGGCCCGTTAACCTCCATGTTTCTTTCCTTTCAGCATCCTTATCAATGAATCCTTTGCAAATAGCTAGATTCATCTCATTAATTTTAGGAGAAAGGGATCAATACACATACATTTATCTTACATTATGTGTATATATTAGATTCCATAGCTATTGAAACAGATATATGACACTCTGAGGAAAAGCAAGGAATAAACACTAGAGCCACTCACTGATCTTTTAAAGTAGAGCTAAATATAGCTGTCCAACTTCCATGTCCTTGATCATTTAAATGTTAGTCCAAACTTCATGCAGTATGAAAGTAGATAATAGACATCTATATCTAATATACTTCCCCTAGTTCTTTTTAATTTTTGGTCTTCTCCTCTGAGTTGCATAGACCTTAAAAAATGTTGATGGTCCACTCTCCCCAGTGAGAATGCTGCTTTCATTGATCAAGCCCTTTTCAGCATAAAATTCTGTGCCAGAAGTGAGGATGCAAATGAGACACAAATGCTGCCCTTGAGGAGTCTGATATGCTAGCTTGAGGGACTGACTCTCAATTCTCTTTACCTAAACATCTGGGCCTAATACTGGCCCTTTAGAATAACTACTCTTTCCCATGTCCTCACAGCTTTGGTTCATCAGAACAGTTCTCATATTCTTCAAGCATGAGACAGTAAACTTTATGTTTGGGATTTGCGTTAGGGGAAGTGATGGTGCTGTGAGTCAGAAGTTCTTAAAGTTAAAAATATGACAAATTACTTAGATATCTAGAGCTTTTTAAAACATACATTCCTAACCCCAGTTTGATCCTTCTGAATTAGATTTTCCATACATGAAGCCTATGGGATTCTGGTGGGCAGTAGAAGATAAACTGTAATTTAAGTGAGGTTTTTATAAGCCAGCTTGGGATCAGGCAAAGATCAGGTGAATCATTCTTGATCTATATTTGTATTTTAATCTGTTTAAGAATTGTATGTAAAATACTTTAAAAGCTTGGACTGGGGAATCATTCATTGTCCAAGTGTGGGGTACATTTTCACATCAACTTTTCTGTTTCTGTTCTTATGCAATTATAAGTCCACATTATGCATAATAAATAGTGAAAGAATTTCCTCTGTCAGTATATTGCCATAGGTATTTCTGACAGATGCATGCAGACAGATGTGAAGTTTTTTTTTTTTTTTACCATATAAGCAAATATAATCACATTACATATTTTGTACAGAATCAATCTGATTGTATGTTAAACAAATATATGCAGTGTATGTTTAGTCAGAGGGTCTTAGGAATATATCCAGAGACAACTGGAAAATTTTTGTTCATAAACAAAAATTTTTACCACCAGCTCCAGTGAAACATTTCAAAGGGATCCATGTGTGCTAAATGCAAATTGTACCTTCATTTGGAATTGTATTCAATCTTTAAAGTCCATGTAGCCTCAGAAAGCCCATCTTTCGTCCATGCAAGCCTTGGGATGTGTTTAAGGCATTACAGGTAGAGTGCCAGAGCCACCTGACCTTGCTGCTTTCCAATCCTCTTCCTTCCCCCGCCTTCAGAGCAGAGAGTACCAGCCTAGTAGACTGGCACAGGCAGCCTGAGCCACGCTAGCCTCTATGTGGTGTGCTCTGTGAGCCTTAGTTGGAGAGGTTCTGGCTCCTTCTGTCACATATGATTCTGTGGTTTTGAACATCAGCTTTTTTTCCTTTTCCACTTTTTCCCTAGTGCTCCAGACTTTTTTTGTGCAGAAAGCAGCCTCTCACATCATCCTGCATTAATCATCATATACCCCTCAAATCAAAAGTGGAAAAGACCCAGTGATTCAGTCATCTGTTTGCTAACAGTAATCTTTTTGTGGGTTTGTGTGTCTGTGTCCTTTGTTAAGTTCTGTTTTAAAAGAATACAGGCTCCCAGACTGCTGGGGTGTGGTGTGCTTGCAGTAACCTCTCTGTGAGATGCTCCAGAGAGAAAGGCTTCCCAGTGAAAACACTAGACTCAGAGTTGTCTTCAACTCACATAGCCCATGACCCTGAAAAAAAAAAAAAAAAGAAAGAAAGAAAAAGAAGAAGAAAAGAAGCTCTTTTTGGAGCACATTTTTTCTCATCATTAAAGTGAAGAAATAGAACCAGATTGTCTTTAAAGTTCTCATTATTTTATCTTTCTATGGCTCCTTCTAGGAAGTTTGTCTTCTCTAATTTGGCTTAGATACCATATATTTTATTTAGTCATCATTTTTTCCCTATATCTTTATTTATCTGAGTGACGATGTCATCTTTCCTCAGGGCTGGGTGGTTTCTATTCACATCTTTTGCAGACTGATTGCAAAATTATCCTTAAGGGAACACAAGCATCGACCAGCATTTATAAATCCCTGGCAGCACACCACAGATGGTTAATGAAATAAAATGCATTATCTCATAGGCTTAGCTAATCTCAAAGTTATGGACCATCTCTGGATGTGAGGACTTAATATGGAGGCAAGCTGTAGAGTGACAAATTAAAGCTGATAAGATTGCTGCTCTGCCTCATCCTCCAAATATTCATAAACTTTGAGCCGACTCTCTCACAGGAAGCAGGGATCACTACGGAGCTATGCTACATATTGCACTTGCTTGATAAACATGCATGAACATGAAATATAGGAAATACTAGGCACAGTTACCATCACCTGTTGCTCAAAGTAAAATTAAGAAAAAAGCTGGGTTCAGAAATGTTTACTTTAATCTAATTATACAGTGTGTTCAAATTTGTCTCACTTAAGAACTAGCTAAGCAGTGGTCTCCAACCTTTTTGGCACCAGAGACCAGTTTCGTGGAAGACAATTTTTCCATGGATGGGAAGGATTTGTTGGGCGGGGTGGGGGGAGGGTTGTGGGGAATGGTTTTGGAAAGTGTTCCACCTCAGATCATCAGATATTCTCATAGGTGCACAATCTAGATCCCTCACATGCCCAGTTGGAATACAGGGTAGAAGCTACTATTGAGAATCTCATGCTGCTGCTGATCTAATCTGACAGAAGGAGGAGCTTAGGTGGTAATGCTGGCTCGCCCACCACTCATCTCCTGCTGTGTGGCCTGGTTTATAACAGACCATGGAGGGTACCAGTCTGCGGCCTGATGGTTGGGGAACCCCTGAGCTAAGGGACTGATAGAAACATTTTATAAGTAAAATTAATTAAACGCATACACACACAAATAGTTATTTTTAAAAAATAGTACACAAATATTATCAGCTTGTTGATCCCAAATGTAAAAGAAAATCCTCAAATGTTTACATAATTAAAGAAATGATCACTATCTTTATTGAATTTTCACATGCTCTTACCATTCTTAGCTTAATCTGGTAAGAATGAGGTCATAGCAAATTCTTTGGGTAGTGAATTCTAGGTCTCCAGATTTGTAGTAAAATAAGGTACATAAAGTAGACAAAGAGAAACAAAAATGCATTTTAGTTTGGTTCCTTTTTCCTCATTTACTTGAAATACAAATATATATCTATGAATAATCACATATAATTTCTCCTAATATTCCATAAATATAAATTACAATTTCTAAGGATTGAATATTTAATAACAGTCTTTTCAAAATGATAAAGCAAGCACATAATCTTGTTCTTGTTTATTGTAGCAAATGTCAGAGCAGTTTACTGCAGAAATTAAATTGTTATTTATTTTGACTGTTGGGTTAAACAATTCTCTCATTAGGGGAAAAATATACTGCTAAAATAAGTGATAGTTATATGAAGAATTAGATAAGCATTAGTGGAAAAAACCCACCAGTGTCTCTGTTTCCTTAGCAGAACAGGCTATACAGTGTTGCAGCAAGACAGACATCCTCACATAGCAGAGGTGCTAGGGACAGCATCCCTATAGGCAACTACTGGAACTTCTCTAATGTACTTGTAGTTTGCAGATTCTCTGGTTACACTAGCCCTTGCTAACATTGTTCTTCTTTGAATTTGATTAGTCTGAGTTCATTCATGATTCTGTAACCATGTGAGTGGAAAGGGAAACAGGGCTCTCTGCTGCCATATTGCTTGGTTTTCATGCCTAGATTCAAGAATTCTTGAACGTGCATTGGACACAGATCACTCATGGATGCTTTCCACAGCAAATGATTAGCTTCTTACAAATAATTTAAAAGCATTGAGATTGTAATATTTCTTTGGTTTTGTCCTTAAATTTTATATATAACTATTTTATCACATTTACTAGCTATTTTTGTGTGTCTAAGTAGCAAAGACAATGTTACAATTGCAAATCTAGGCTAGGATCCTTGGATAACCAGCTTCCAAATGGCCCCCAATGATCTCCACCTCCTGATGTTTATATATTTGGGTAGTTTCCATGTATATTGTTCCAGGAGATTCCAGATCAGTGTGACCAATAGAATATGGCAGAGGTGATGTTATGTCACTTCCAAAATTAAGTTATAAAAGATTCCCTGCTATATGCTTCTGTTGTACTCTGTACTTTTCCTTCATAATACTTACATATAAGTAACATTCTGTGTCTATCTTTATTTTTTTTATTTTTTTTATTTTTGTGACGGAGTCTTGCTCTGTCACCCAAGCTGGAGTGCAGTGGTGCAATCTTGGCTAATTGAAACCTCTGCTTCCTGGGTTCAAGCAATTCTCCTGCCTCAGGCTCCCGAGTAGCTGGGATTACAGGTGCGTGCCACCATGCCTGGCTAAATTCTAAATTTTATATTTTTAGTAGAGTTGGGATTTCACCATGTTGGCCAGGCTGGTCCAGAACTCCTGACCTGGTGATCCAACCACCTCAGCCTCCCAAAGTGCTGGGATTACAGGTTTGAACCACTGCACCCGGCCTATTCTGTGTCTATCTTCCAAGCTTGACATTAAGCTCATCAAGGACAGAAATCCTGCCTTTCTTATAAATTATGCATATCACAGCACCTAGCAGATACTCATTGTCTAACAAATAACAGGAGAGTTAAGGGTGAGAAAAATAATGAATTAATTTAAATAGCCACCATTTTTAAGAAATCCAAAATGTTTTCCTACTTTTTACTGATCCCTAGTTCAAGGGGTCCCCAATCCCCAGGCCATGGTCTCGGTCCATGGCCTGTTAGAAACCAGGCTGCACACTAGGAGATGAGCAGCTGGAGAGCAAAGCTGAGCTCTGTTTCCTGTCAGATCAGCAGCAGTATTAGATTCTCATAAGAACATGAACCCTATTGTGAACTGCACATGCAAAGGACCTAGGTTGTGCGCTCCTTATGAGAATATAGCTAATGCCTGGTGATCTGATGTGGAACAGTCTCTGAAACCATCCTCCCCACACCACACTGTCTGTGGAAAAATTGTCTTCTGCAAAACCAATTCCTGGTGCTAAAGTGGTTGGGGACTACTGCTCTAGTTCTCTCACACATTACCCTGAAAGCACTATAAGGCGATTATCTGGGGGGCAGTTCCAAGATGGCCGAATAGGAACAGCTCCAGTCTATAGCTCCCAGCATGAGTGATGCAGAAGACGAATGATTTCTGCATTTCCAACTAAAGTACCGGGTTCATCTCACTGGGGATTGTCGGACAGTGGGTGCAGGACAGTGGGTGCAGTGCACTGAGTGTGAACCGAAGCAGGGCGAGGCATCGCCTCACCTGGGAAGTGCAAGGGGTCAGGGAATTCCCTTTCCTAGACAAGGAAAGGGGTGACAGACGGCACCTGGAAAATCGGGTCACTCCCACCCTAATACTGCACTTTTCCGATGGTCTTAGCAAACAGCACACCAGGAGATTATATCCCGCGCGTGGCTCGGAGGGTCCTATGCCCACAAAGCCCCGCTCATTGCTAGCACAGCAGTCTGAGATCAAACTGCAAGGCAGCAGCGAGGCTGGGGGAGGGGCACCCGCCATTGCCTAGGCTTGAGTAGGTTAACAAAGCAGCCCAGAAGCTCCAACTGGGAGGACCCCAACGCAGCTCAAGGAGGCCTGCCTGCCTCTGTAGACTCCACCTCTGGGAGCAGGGCATAGCCAAACAAAAGGTAGCAGAAACCTCTGCAGACTTAAATGTCCCTGTCTGACAGTTTTGAAGAGAGTAGTGGTTCTCCCAGCACACAGGTGGAGATCTGAGAACAGACAGACTGCCTCCTCAAGTGGGTCCCTGACTCCCGAGTAGCCTAACTGGGAGGCAACCCCAAGTAGGGGCAGACTGACACCTCACACGGCCTGGTACTCCTCTGAGAAAAAACTTCCAGAGGAACAATCAGGCAGCATCATTTGCTGTTCACCAATATTCACTGTTCTGCAGCCTCCACTGCTGTTACCCAGGCAAACAGGGTCTGGAGTGGACATCCAGGAAACTCCAACAGACCTGCAGCTGAGGGTCCTGACTGTTAGAAGGAAAACTAACAAACAGAAAGGACATCCACACCAAAACCCCATCTGTACGTCACCATTATCAAAGACCAAAGGTAGATAAAACCACAAAGATGGGGAAAAAACAGAGCATAAAAACTGAAAATTCTGAAAATCAGAGTGCCTCTCCTCCTCCAAAGGAATGCAATTCCTCACCAGCAATGGAACAAAGCTGGATGGAGAATGACTTTGACGAGTTGAGAGAAGAAGGCTTCAGACGATCAAACTTCTCTGAACTAAAGGAGGAAGTTCAAACCCATGGCAAAGAACTTAAAAACCTTGAAAAAAGATTAGATGAATGGCTAACTAGAATAACCAAGGCAGAGAAGTCCTTAAACGACCTGATGGAGCTGAAAACCACAGCAAGAGAACTACATGACGAATGCACAAGCTTCAGTAACCGATTTGATCAACTGGAAGAAAGGTTATCAGTGATGGAAGATCAAATGAATGAAATGAAGTGAGAAGAGGAGTTTAGAGAAAAAAGAATAAAAATAAACAAACAAAGCCTCCAAGAAATATGGGACTATGTGAAAAGACCAAATCAACGTCTGATTGGTGTACCTGAAAGTGACAGGGAGAACGGAACCAAGTTGGAAAACACTCTGCAGGATATTATCCAGGAGAACTTCCCCAATCTAGCAAAGCAGGCCAACATTCAGATTCAGGAAATACAGACAACACCACAAAGATATTCCTCCAGAAGAGCAACTCCAAGACACATATATCAGATTCACCAAAGTTGAAATGAAGGAAAAAATGTTAAGGGCAGCCAGAGAGAAAGGTCGGGTTACCCACAAAAGGAAGACCATCAGACTAACAGCTGATCTCTCAGCAGAAACTCTACAAGCCAGAAGAGAGTGGGGGACAATATTCAACATTCTTAAAGAAAAGAATTTTCAACCCAGAATTTCATATCCAGCCAGACTAAGCTTCATTAAGTGAAGGAGAAATAAAATCCTTTACAGACAAGCAAATGCTGAGAGATTTTGTCACCACCAGGCCTGCCCTAAAAGAGCTCCTGAAGGAAGCACTAAACATGGAAAGGAACAACTGGTACCAGCCACTGCAAAAACATGCCAAATTGTAAAGACCATCGAGGCTAGGAAGAAATTGCATCAACTAACGAGCAAAATAACCAGCTAACATCATAATGACAGGATCAAATTCACACATAACAATATTAACCTTAAATGGAAATGGGCCAAATGTTCCAATTAAAAGACACAGACTGGCAAATTGGATAAACAGTCAAGACCCATCAGCGTGCTGTATTCAGGAAACCCATCTCACATGCAGAGACACACATAGGCTCAAAATAAAGGGATGGAGGAAGATCTACCAAGCAAATGGAAAACAAAAAAAGGCAGGGGTTGCAATCCTAGTCTCTGATAAAACAGACTTTAAACCAACAAAGATCAAAGGAGACAAAGAAGGCCATTACATAATGGTAAAGGATCAATTCAACAAGAAGAGCTAACGATCCTAAATATATATGCACCCAATACAGGAGCACCCAGATTCATAAAGCAAGTCCTGAGTGACCTACAAAGAGACTTAGACTCCCACACAATAATAATGGGAGACTTTAACACCCCACTGTCAACATTAGACAGATCAACGAGACAGAAAGTTAAAAAGGATATTCAGGAATTGAACTCGGCTCTGCACCAAGTGGACATAACAGACATCTACAGAACTCTCCACCCCAAATCAACAGAATATACATTCTCCTCAGCACCACTCCACACTTATTCCAAAACTGACCACATAGTAAAGCACTCCTCAGCAAATATAAAGGAACAGAAATTATAACAAACTGTCTCTCAGACCACAGTGTAATCAAACTAGAACTCAGGATTAAGAAACTCACTCAAAACCACTCAACTACATGGAAACTGAACAACCTGCTCCTGAATGACTACTGGGAACATAACAAAATGAAGGCAGAAATAAAGATGTTCTTTGAAACCAACAAGAACAAAGACACAACATACCAGAATCTCTGGGACACATTTAAAGCAGTGTTGTAGCAGGAAATTTATAGCACCAAATGCCCACAAGACAAAGCAGGAAAGATCTAAAATTGACACCCTAACATCACAATTAAAAGAACTAGAGAAGCAAGAGCAATCACATTCAAAAGCTAGCAGAAGGCAAGAAATAACTAAGATCAGAGCAGAACTGAAGGAAATAGAGACACAAAATCCCTTCAAAAAATCAATGAATCCAGGAGCTGGTTTTTTGAAAAGAGCAACAAAATTGATAGACTGCTAGCAAGACTAACAAAGAAGAAAAGAGAGAAGAATCAAATAGATGCAATAAAAAATGATAAAGGGGATATCACCACCAATCCCACAGAAATACGAACTACCATCAGAGAATACAATAAACACTTCTATGCAAATAAACTAGAAAATCAAGAAGAAATGGATAAATCCTCGACACATACACCCTCCCAAGAATAAACCAGGAAGAAGTTCAGTCTCTGAATAGACCAATAACAGGCTGTGAAATTGAGGCAATAATTAATAGCTTACCAACTGAAAAAAGTCCAGGACCAGATGGATTCACAGCTGAATTCTGCCAGAGGTACAAGGAGGAGCTGGTACCCTTCCTTCTGAAACTATTCCAATAAATAGAAAAAGAGGGAATCCTCCCTAACTCATTTTAGGAGGCCAGCATCATCCTGATACCAAAGCCTGACAGAGACACAACAAAAAAAGAGAATTTTAGACCAATATCCCTGATGAACATTGATGCAAAAGTCCTCAATAAAATACTGGCAAATAGAATCCAGCAGCACATCAAAAAGCTTATCCACCATGATCAAGTGGGCTTCATCCCTGGGATGCAAGGCTGGTTCAACATATGCAAATCAATAAATGTAATCCAGCATATAAACAGAACCAAAGACAAAAACCACATGATTATCTCAATAGATGCAGGAAAGGCCTTTGACAAAATTCAACAACGCTTCGTGCTAAAAACTCTCAATAAATTGGGTATTGATGGGATGTATCTCAAAATAATAAGAGCTATCTATGACAAATCCACAGTCAATATCATCCTGAATGGGCAAAAACTGAAAGCATTCCCTTTGAAAACTGGCCCAAGACATGCATGCCCTCTCTCACCACTCCTATTCAACGTAGTGTTGGAAGTTCTGGCCAGGACAATCAGGCAAGAGAAGGAAATAAAGGGTATTCAATGAGGAAAAGAGGAAGTCAAATTGTCCCTGTTTGCAGATGACATGATTGTATATCTAGAAAACCCCATCGTCTGAGCCCAAAATCTCCTTAAGCTGATAAGCAACTTCACAAAGTCTCAGGATATAAAATCAATGTGCAAGAATCACAAGCATTCTTATACACCAATAACAGACAAACAGCCAAATCGTGAGTGAAGTCCCATTCAGAACTGCTTCAAAGAGAATAAAATACCTAGCAATCCAACTTACAAGGGACATGAAGGACGTCTTCAAGGAGAACTACAAACCACTGCTCAAGGAAATAAAAGAGGATACAAACAAATGGAAGAGCATTCCATGCTCATGGGTAGGAAGAATCAATATCATGAAAATGGCCATGCTGCCTAAGGTAATTTATAGATTCAATGCCATCCCCATCAAGCTACCAATGACTTTCTTCACAGAATTGGAATAAACTACTTTAAAGTTCATGTGGAACCAAAAAAGAGCCCGCATCGCCAAGTCAATCTTAAGCCAAAAGAACAAAGCCGGAGGCATCATGCTACCTGACTTCAAACTATACTACAAGGCTACAGTAACCAAAACAGCATGGTACTGGTACCAAAACAGAGATTTAGACCAATGGAATAGAACAGAGCCCTCAGAAATAATGCCACATATCTACAACTGTCTGATCTTTGACAAACCTGACAAAAACAAGAAATGGGGAAAGGATTCCCTATGTAATAAATGGTGCTGGGAAAACTGGCTAGCCATATGTAGAAAACTGAAACTGGATCCCTTCCTTACACTTTATGCTAAAATTAATTCAAGATGGATTAAAGACTTAAATGTTATACCTAAAACCATAAAAACCCTAGAAGAAATCCTAGGCAATACCATTCAGGACATAGGCATGGGCAAGGACTTCATGTCTAAAACACCAAAAGCAATGGCAACAAAAGCCAAAATGGACCAATGGGATCTAATTAAAGTAAAGAGCTTCTGCACAGCAGAAAAAAAAAAAAAAAACAACTACCATCAGAGCGAACAGGCAACCTACAGAATGGGAGACAATTTTTGCAATCTACTCATCTGACAAAGGGCTAATATCCAGAATCTACAAAGAACTCAAACAAATTTACAAGAAAAAATCAAACAGCCCCATCAACAAGTGGGCAAAGGATATGAACAGACACTTCTAAAAAGAAGACTTTTTATGCAACCAACAGACACATGAAAAAATGCTCACCATCACTGGCCATCAGAGAAATGCAAATCAAAACCACAATGAGATACCATCTCACACCAGTTAGAATGACAATCATTAAAAGTCAGGGAACAAGAGGTGCTGGAGAGGATGTGGAGAAATAGGAACACTTTTACACTGTTGGTGGGACTGTGAACTAGTTCAACCATTGTGGAAGACAGTGTGGCGATTCCTCAGGGATCTAGAACTAGAAATACCATTTGACCCAGCCATCCCATTACTGGGTATATACCCAAAGGATTATAAATCATGCTGCTATAAAGATACATGCACACGTATGTTTATTGTGGCACTATTCACAATAGCAAAGACTTGGAACCAACCCAAATGTCCAACAGTGATAGACTGGATTAAGAAAATGTGGCACATATACACCATGGAATACTATGCAGTCATAAAAATGATGAGTTCATGTCCTTTGTAGGGACATGGATGAAGATGGAAACCATCATTCTCAGCAAACTATCGCAAGGACAAAAAACCAAACACCGCATGTTCTCACTCATAGATGGGAATTGAACAATGAGAACACATGGACAGAGGAAGGGGAACATCACACACCGGGGCCTGTTGTGGGGTGGCGGGAGGGGAAAGGGATAGCATTAGGAGATATACCTAATGTAAGTGATGAGTTAATGGGTGCAGCACACCAACATGGCACATTTATACATATGTAACAAACATGCATGTTGTGCACATGTACCCTAAAACTTAAAGTATAATGAAAAAAAAGCACTATAAGGCAAAGTTAGGATATTTTATAATAATTTACATGCCTGTCTTCAAAGACATATAATAAAATATTCGTTTTTAATAATAAAATATGTAATAAATAAAATTAAAATTCCCAAATTAAAGAAAAAATCTTTTGTTTCTTAAAAGTGATAAAACTGCATCCCTCTTTTGTTTAATTCTGTGACATATTTTAAAGCTTTTTCATATTAATTTTTTTTAAATTTTGTCATTATACCTATCCTGGGAGGTAGCCTGTGCTGTAAGTGAGGAAGTGAATTCCTAGAGGGTAAGCAAATTTGCTTTGGGCTGCAAAGTTCTCTTTTGGTGGGACCAAGGCTAGAATCGAGAGAGCAATACTCATCACAGATTCAGAACCCTTCCAACCAGTGCAAACTGACTGAGGAACCTAATAACCAACCACTGAGGATCTAATTCCAAGATGTATCTCTCTCTCTCCTGTCCTTAAATCTCCTTAGCTACTTCCCATTCTCTGTTTTGTGACATATTATTATTATTTTCTCTAGTGAAGCAACTTGCAGAAATCCATTTTTCCTCTTCTTCCTGAACTCTAAACATTTTGAGGGGGCAGATCAGGGCTTATTTGTGTTTATCTATGCTTCAACCTATAATATAATTTCTTATGTAGATTAGAGGATGAATAAATTATTGTTGAGCTAAGTTGGAATAAATTTCATAAAGAGTTATCAGCAAAATTATTCAATACTTGATTTTTTTGATAGTAATCATACAATAAAAGTACATTTGGGGTTACATTTGGTTTTATGTAATCAACATTACATAGTTATTCTTTAATGGAATTCTACAGTTAGTGCTTTTCCAAAAAGTATATGGACCACTTGAGGTTGCTTGTTTTCTTGAGTTCCCCTGGACATTTTTACTTTTTTGTGCTAAGTGATTTGGCTAACATAACAATAATAACTAATAATATCTAACATTATTCAGTGCTTACAACTTAATCTTCATAACACTAGAAAAATAGGCAATATTAACTATTTTTATATTTCAAGTAATTTTCTCAAAATTACACAGCTAATAAAGGCAGAAGCAGGTTTCAATTCCAAATTGCTGAACCACAAGGCCCATGTTCTTAATCAAAATAATCAAGAATAAATAACACCCACTGGTCAGTTGCTCCTTAAAACTTCTACCTAATTACTCCATTTATGAAAAGATAATTCTACGTTCAATTTAATTAAATTAAATATCTTTAGAGAAAGGAAATACAAGATAATTATCTGAATCATACTCTGACAGAGACAGTTAATGAATTCATAAATTCTTACCAAATTTTAAGGAAGATATTCACTTTGAAGGGTCATGTTTTTATAATACAGAACACATGTTTCTGCAAGAAGACAAAGATTCTCAAATTGCCATTGCCTTAAAAAGAAAGAAATTCACAAAGGAACAGCCAAGATGGCCAAACAGAAACAGTTCCAGTCTGCCGCTCCCACTGAGAAGAATGAAAACAGTCAGTGAATTCTGCATCTTTAATTGAGGTACCCAGGTTCTCTCACTGGGACTGACTTGGGTGATTGGCGTGCACCCAGGGAGAGTGAGGAAAAGCAGGGTGGAGCGAGGGCCCACCTGGAAGCTGCACGGGGCAAAAGGAGCTCCCTCTCCAAGGTGATTAGGGATTGTGCTACCCCGCCCTGAAAACCATGATTTTCCCATGAATCTCTGCAACCCCTGGATAAGGAGGTCCCCCTGTGAGCTCATGCCACCGGGGCCTGGGTCCCAAGCACACAGCTCTGCAGACTCATGGTGCCTGCTCGGGTGGGTGGCCACTCAAGCAGGCACTGAAACACGGAAGTTTTTGCATACTCTGGCTCCAGGAACTCTGGTGTGGCAGGAGATTCATCCACTCCCATGGGATGGGGCTAAAGCCAGGGAGCCAAGCAGCCTTGCTCAGCAGGCCCCACTCCCACAGACCCCCACAAGCTAAAACCTACTGACTTGGAATTCCTGTCAGCCAATGCAGCAGGCTGGGGACTGCCTAAGAAGACTGAATTCGGGGACAGGGAGGGGTGGCTGCCATCACTGCGGCTCCAGTCAGTCATATTCCCCTGCTGCCAATGTCCGCAAGACCGGGTGGTTTGGTCTGGGAGGAATTCCCCACAGCGCAGCCTAGCGGCTGTGAGAGTTCATGGCAAGACTTCTTTAAGTGGGACCCTGACCCATTTCTTCTCACTGGGCAGGGCCTCCCTGCAGGATTCTCAGCATCGCCAGCCAGGGGTTTATGGACAGAACTCTGATTTCTCTCAGAGGAGCTCCTAGGAGGAAAGGTGGCCATGGTATCATGAATCAGCGGTCTTAGTCTTTTATGCCTACCAGGTCTGGAGAGTCAGGATAGCCCAGACAAGGGGGATTACCCCCTGCACAGCACATCTGCTCTGCAAAGGGGCAGCCAGGCTGCTTATTTAAGCAGGTCCCTGATCCTGTTCTTCCTGACTGGGTGAGACCTCCTATTGAGAGTCTCCAGACACCTCATACGGGAGTATTCTGGCCAGCATCAGGTTGGTGCCCCTCTGGCACAGAGATCTCAGAGAAAGGACCAGGCTGCCATCTTTGCTGTCCTGCAGCCTCCACTGGTGATAATTCCAGGTGTAGGAGGGACCCAGGCAAATAAGGTCTCAAATGGACCCCCAGCAAACTGCAGCAGCCCTATGGAAGACGGGCCTTACTGCTAAGAAAAACAAACAGAGAGCAACAACAACAACATCAACAAAAAAGACCCCACAAAAACCCCACCCAAAGGTCAGCAGCATCAAAGATCAAAGGTAGACAAACTCATGAAGATGAGAAAGAATCAACACAAAAATGCTGAAAACTCAAAAAGCCAGAATGTCTCTTTTCCTGAAAAGGATTGAAAAACTTCTCCAGCCAGGGCACAGAACTGGGCTGAGGCTGAGGTGGGTGAATTGACAGAAGTAGGCTTCAGAAGATGGGTAATAAAGAACTTCACCGTGCTAAAGGAATATGTTCTAACCTATGCAAAGAAGCTAAGAACCATGATAAAACATTACAGGAGCTGTTAACTGGAATAACAAGTTTTGAGAGATACTAAAATGACCTGATAGAGCTGAAAAACATAACATGAGAACTTCACAATGCAAACACAAGTATCAATAGCCAAATAGACCAAGTGGAAGAAAGGATATCAGAACTTAAAGACTATCTTGCTGAAATGAGGCAGGCAGACAAGATTAGAGAAAAAGGAATGAAAAGGAATGAACAAAACCTCTGAGAACTATGGGATGATGTATAAAGACAGAACCTATAACTGATTGGGGTACCTCAAAAAGACAGGGAGAATAGAACCAAGTTGGAAAACATACTACCTCAGGATATAATCCAGGAGAAGTTCCCCTACCAAAAAAGACAGACTAACATTCAAATTCAGGAAATGCAGAGAACTACAGTAAGACACTCCATGAGAAGCTCAACCCCAAGACACATAATCACCAGATTTTCCAAGGTGAAAATGAAAGAAAAAAGTTAGGGCAGCCAGAGAGAAAAATCAGGTCACCTATAAAGAGAAGCTCACCAGATTAGCAGCAGACCACTCAGCAGATATCCTACAAGCCAGAAGAGATTGGGGGACAGCAGGGGGCAATATTCAACATTCTTAAAGAAAAGAATTTCCAACCTAGAATTTCATATCTAGCCAAACTAAGCTTCATAAGCAAAGGAGAAATAAAATCCTTTTCAGACAAGCAAATGCTGAGGGAGTTCATCACCACCAGGCCTGCATTACAAGAGCTTCTGAAGGAAGTACTAAATATGGAAAGGAAAAACTGGTACCAGCTACTGCAAAAACACACCAAAGTACAAAAACCAATGACAGCATGAAGAAAGTGCATCAACTAGTGTGCAAAATAACCAGCTAGCATCATGATGACAGGATCAAATTCACACATGACAATATTAATCTTAAATGTAAATGGGCTAAATGCCCAATTAAAAGACACAGAATGGCAAACTGGATAATCAAGATTCGTTGTTGTGCTGTATTGAAGAGACCCATCTCATGTGCAAAGACACACATAGACTCAAAATAAAAGGATAAAGAAAAATGTACCAAGCAAATGGAAAACAGAAAAAAAGCAGAAGTTCCAATCTTAGTTTCTGACAAAATAGACTTTAAACCAACAAAGATCAAAAAAGACAAAGAAGGGCATTACATAATGCTAATGGGGTCAATTCAACAAGAAGAGCTAACTATCCTAAATATATATCCACCCAATACAGGAGCACCCAGATTCATAAAGCAAGTTCTTAGAGCACTACAAAGAGGCTTAGACTCTCACACAATAATGGTGGGAGACTTTAACACCAAACTGTCAATATTAAACACATCATTGAGACAGAAAATTAACAAAGATATTCAGAACTTGAACTCAGCTCTGGATCAAGTGGGCCTGGTAGATATCTAGAGAACTCTCCACCCCAAACAACAGGATGTACAGTCTTCTCAGTGCCACATGGCACTTACTCTAAATCTGATAACTTAGTTGGAAATAAGTCACTCCTCAGCAAATGGAAAAGAACTGAAATCATAATAAAAATCTCTTATACCATAGCACAATCAAATTAGAACTCAAGATTTAAAAACTCACTCAAGACCATACAACTCCATGAAAATTGAACGACTTGCTCCAGAATGACTCCTGGGTAAATAATGAAATTAAGGCAGAAATTAAGAAGTTTTTTGAAACTAATGAGAACAAAGAGACAATGTACCAGTCTGTGGAATGCAGCTAAAATGGTGTTCAGAGAAATTTATAGCACTAAATGTCCACATCAAAAAGCTAGAAAGATCTCAATCAATGTTGTAATATCACAACTAAAGGAATTAGAGAACCAAGAGCAAAGAAACCCCAAGGCTAGCAGAAGACAAGAAATAAGGAAGCTCAGAGTGGAACTGAAGGAGATATAGACACAGAAAACCCTTCAAAAAAATCAATGAATTTAGGAGCTTTTTTTTGAAAAAATTAATAAAATAGACCACTAGCTTGACTAATAAAGAGGAAAAGAGAGGTGAATCAAATACACAGAATAAAAAATCATAAAGAGGATATCACCACAGACCCCACAGAAATACAAACAACCATCAGAGAATAATATAAACAACTCTATGCAAACAAACTAGAAAATCTGGAAGCAATAGACAAATTCCTGGACACATACACCCTCCCAAGACTGAACCAGGAAGAAGTTGAATCCCTGAACAGACCAATAACAAGTTCTGAAATTGAGGCAGTAATAAATCGCCTACCAACCAAAAAAAGGCCAGATTCAGGTGAATTTACAGCTGAATTCTACCAGAGGTACAAAGAGAAGGTGGTATCCTTTCTTCTGAAACTATTCCAAATAATTGAAAAGAAAGGACTCTTCCCTAACTCATTTTATGAGGCCAGCATCATCCTGATACAAAAACCTGGCAGAGACACAACAACAAAAAAAGAAAACTTCAGACCAATATCCCTGATGAACATCGATGCAAAAATTCTCAATAAAATACTGGCAAACTGAATCCAGCAGCACAGCAAAAAGCTTATCCACTACAATCAAGTTGGCTTTTTCCCTGGAATGCAAGGCTTGTTCAATATATGCAAATCAATAAATGTAATTTATCACATAATCGGAACCAAAGACAAAAGACACATGATTATTTCAGTAGATGCAGAAACACCTTCAATGAAATTCAACATCCCTTCATGTTAAGAACTCTCAATGAACTAGGTATTGAGGGAACATACATCGAGATAATAAGAGCCATTTATGACAAACCCACAGCCAATATCATACTGAATGGGCAAAATCTGAAAGCATTTCTTTTGAAAACCAGCAGAAGACAAGGATGCCCTCTCTCACCACTCCTATTCAATACAGTATTGGAAGTTCTGGCCAGGGCAATCACACAAGAAAAAGAAATAAAAAGTATTTAAATAGGAAGAGAGGAAGTCAAATTGTCTTTGTTTGCAAATGGCATGATCCTATATCTGGAAAACCCTATCATCTCAGCCCAAGAGTTTCTTAAGCTGATAATCAACTTCAGCAAAGTCTTAGGATACAAAATCAATAGGCAAAAGTCACAAGCATTCCTATACACCAACAACAGATAAGCAAAGAAGCAAATCATGTATGAACTCCCATTCACTATTCCTACAAAGAAAATAAAATACCTTGGACAGCCAACAAGGGAAGTAAAGGACCTCTTTAAGGAGAACTACAAACCACTGCTCAAGGAAATCAGAGGAGACAAACAAATGGAAAAACATTGTATCCTCATAGGTAGGAAGAATCAATATCGTGAAAATGGTCATACTGCTCAAAGTAATTTATAGATTCAATGTTATTCCCATTAAACTACCATTGAAATTCTTCACAGAATTAGAAGCAACTATTTTAAAATTCATAAGGAACCAATAAAGCTTGAATAGCCAAGACAATCCTAAGCAAAAAGAACAAAGCTGGAGGCATCACACTACCCAAGTTCAAACTATACTACAAGGCTTTAGTAACCAAAACAGCATAGTATGTTACAAAAACAGACACATACAACAATAAAACAGGATAGAGAACTCAGAAATAAGACTGCACATCTACAACCATCTGATTTTTAACAAATCTGACAAAAACAAGAAATGGGAAAATGGTTCCCTGTTTAATAAATGGTGCTGGGAGAAATGGCTAGCCATATGCAGAAAATTGAAACTGAACCCCTTCCATACACAATACACAAAAAGTAACTCAAGATGCATTAAAGACTTAAATTTAAAACCCAAAACTATAAAAGCCATAGAAGAAAATTTAGGCAATACCATTCAGGACATAGGCATGGGCAAAGACTTCATGACGAAATCACCAAAAGCAATTGCAACAAATGCAAAAATTGACAAATTGGATGTAATTGAACTACAGATCTTCTGCACTGCAAAAGAAACTATTATCAGAGTGAACAGGCAACCTACAGAATGGGAGAATATTTTTGCAGTCTATCCATCTGACAAAGGTCTAATATCCATAATCTACAAGGAACTTAAACAAATTTGCAAGTGAAAAAAACAAACAACCCCATTAAAAAGTGGGCAAAGGACATGAACAGACACTTATCAAAAGAAGACATTCATGCAGCCAACAAATGTAGAAAAAAAGCTTAACATCAGTGATCATTAGACAAATGAAAATCAAAACCATGAGATATCATCTCATGCCAGTCTGAATGGCGATTATTAAAAAGTCAAGAAATAACAGATGTGGGCAAGGTTGTGGAGAAATAGGAGCACTTTTACACTGTTGGTGGGAGTATAAACTAGTTCAACCATTGTGGAAGACAGTGTGGTCATTCCTTAAAGGTCTAGAACCAGAAACACCATTTGATCCAGCAATCCCATTACTGGTTATATACCCAAAGGGAATACAAACCATTCCATTACAAAGATACATGCATGTGTATTTTAATTGCATCACTGTTCACAATAGCAAAGACATAGAATCAACCCAAATGCCCATTAATGATAGACTGGATAAAGAAAATGTGGTATATATACACCATGAAATACTATGCAGCCATAAAAAGGATCAAGATCATGTCTTTTGTAAGGATGTGGATGGAGCTGGAAGCCGTTATCCTCGGCAAACTAATGCAGAAACAGAAAACCAAACACCAGATGTTCTCACTTACAAGTGGGAGCTAAACAATGAGAACACATGGACACAGGGAGGGGAACAGTACACACTGGGGCCTGTTGTGGGGGTAGGGTGGAGAGAGGGAGAGCATTAGAAAGAATAGCTAATGCATGCTGGGCTTAATACCTAGGTGATGGGTTGATAGGTGCAGCAGCCACCATGGCACACATTTAACTGTGTAACAAACCTGTACATCCTGCATATGCACCCAAAACCAAAAAGAATTTTTTTAAAAAAAAAAACCTCTAATGTAAGAATTAAAATTCTGATTTTACAGATAAGAAAACAATATTTTGTCACACTATTAGTATGAGATTGATCAAGGACTCAAACCAGGGTCTGATTAACTCCCAAGCCCATGCCTATAACTTTGATATGCACTGCCTTATCACATTAAATGTTCCCAGCATCAGTCTCATAAACATAAATTTAAAAATACAAATAAGAAGGAAATTCACATATAGCTCTTATAACTTTTTTATTAAACTAGACTGTGGGTTCCTCCAAGATAAGAATTATAGGGTTTTTATCAACATATTTTTTTCAATATGTTTTTTGACAAGTAGGTGCTCAATAAATGCTTAATGAATTAGTAAGTTAATGTGTAAGTAAATAAATGAATGAATTTTCACAACTTGTGTTGATATTTTCTTCATTATTTGATGTCCACCAATCACAGGAAAGTCATTAGAAGGTGAGAATAGCACTAAATCTTTTCATTTTTGATAACAGCATCTTCTCCTCCCTCTGCATACTTGAGATAGGGCAGACATTCCAAACAAGATAGCTAGCTACTAAAAAAAAAAAAAAAAAAGATGTCCGTTCATTTCTGCTTTGTTACTTTCAACTTATATATTAGGTCAGTAGTTATTTTGGAAAACCGTGTTTCATATCTTTAGAGCTGTCATTCAACACATCCTACATTAGGCTAGAGTAGCTTGAAAATGGCGTGACTTTTCTTGAGTAAGTAGCTCTTCTGCATCATACCTATGTAGCTCAACCCTGAGTTTAAATTTCTTCCTCTACAATATAGTGTTTAAAAACTCACTTTCTATTGTGTGTGTCAGTAGAGAATGAAGGTAAGTTCTTTTGCTAAGTGCTGGCATATGGTGATGTTAATAATAGCTGTGATGAACACCTGCCAGCAGCCATTCATTGGACTGAGTACTTCCCATGTGCTGTGGTTTGAATGTCCTCTCTAAAACTCATGTTGAAATGCAATTATCCTTGTAACAATATTAAGAGGTGGGGCTTAAAAAAGTGATTAGGTCGTGAAGGCTCTACTCTCATGATGGATTAATCACATTATCGAGGAAGTGGGTTAGTTACTGTTTGAGTGGCTTTGTTATAAAAGCAAGCTCTCTTTTGCCTTCCACCCTTTCACCATTAGTGAATGGGTTGACTCTCTCAAGATGCCAACACATGTTCTTGAATGTCCCAGCCTCCAGAACCATAAGGCAAATAAACCTCTTTTCTTTGTAAATTTCCCAGTCTGTGTTATTCTGTTAAAGCAGCAGAAAAATAGACTAAAACAACATGCACCATCACACTTAATCCTTTCCACATACTCCAAAGGAGGTCTTCTCATATCCCTTCACTTCACAGAGAGCTTAAATCACCAGTCCTAAGTAATGAAGCTCCTAGATGGCAGAACTGGACTCACAACCCAGGTCTGCTAAGGCAATAATTACAGGCTCTTGTCCATCATACAGCACCAGCTGCCTAGATGTACACGGTAGTTCTAAAAATAGCTGTTATAGTCATGTATCACCTAACCTTAAGGATATTTTTAGAAACGTATCATTAGAATACTTTATCATTGTGCACACATCATAGAATGTACTTACACATACCTAAATGGTATAGCCTATTACACACCTAGGCTATATGATATAGTCCCTTGCTTCTAAGCTACAAACCTGTATAGCATATTACTGTACTGAATACTGTAGGTAATTGTAACCCAGTGTTAGTATTTGTGTATCTAATCATATCTAAACATAGAAAAGATAGAGTAAAAACATAATATAAGAGATTTTGAAAATAGTATACCTGTATAGGGCATTTACCGTGAATGGAGCTTGCAAAACCGGAAGTTGCTCTGGGTCTTAGTGAGTGAGTGGTGAGTGAATGTGAAGGCCTAGAACATTACTGTATACTACTGTAGACATAAACACTGTACACTTAGCTAACACTAATTCTTTTTTTTTTTTAAAAAAAGTCTTTCTTCAATAGTGAATTAACCTTATATTACTATAATTTTTTGACTTTATAAACATTTTAATTTTTTAAACCTTTTGTCTCTTTTGCAGTACACTTAGCTTAAGGCACAAACACATTGTACAGCTGTATATAAATTTTTTATATTTTTTTAGGCTTTTTTTTTTACTTTTTAAACTTAAAAAAAAATAACAAAGACACAAGAATGCATATTAGCCTAGGCCTACATATGGCCAGGAACACCAATATCACTATCTCCCACCTCTACATCTTGTCTCACTGGAAGGTCTTCAGGCATGAAGCTTTCATCTTCTATAGTAACAATGTCTTCTTCTGAAATACCTCCTGAAGGATCTGTCAAAGCCTGATTTACAATTAACCTTCTTTTTTTCTAAGTAGAAGAAATACATTCTTAAAAAAAAAAATGATAAGCTAGGTACAGTGACTCCTGCCTGTAATTCCAGCAGTTTGGGAGGCTGATGTAGGAGGATAGCTTGAGGCCAAATATTTAAGACCAGCCTGGACAACATAGGGAGAGCCTGTCTCTATCAAAACAAACAAACAAATAAATAAATTAGCTATGCGTGGTAGTGCTTGTCTACAGTCTCAACTACTCAGGAGGCTCAGGCAGGAGGATCATTTGAATCCAGGAATTCAAGGCTACAGTGAGCCATGATCATACCACTGCACTCCAGCCAGAGTGACAGAGAAATAACTCATCTTTAAAAATGTAAATAAATAATAATATATATTAAATAAATAAAATGATAAAAGTAATAAATAAATCAATATTATCATTATCAAGTATTTCATGCTGTACATAATTGTATATGCTATACTTTCATACAACCAGTGGTACAGATTTTTTTACACCAGCATCACCACAAATATGTTAGTAATGCATTATGCTATGACATTATAATAGCTATGACATCACTAGGGATTTGAAATTTTTCAGCTTGGAAATAATATTATGGAGCAATCACCCTATACATGGTTTGTTGTTGACCAAAACATCATTATGTGATATGCATGACTGTGATTGTATTTGCTGTTCTAAATTTATCTTAAAAATAATAATAGACGGAGTGCGTGTAGAGATTCAAGCAAGTAAAAGGAAAATTATACATGTCTCCAAACAACATGCTCCACAGTCATCATTCATTTAGCAAATGAGCTCTTGAATGGGAAGATTACGGGTTTTCCAATCTTAATGAAAATGGACAAAGTGAAAACAGGTCTCTTTCATGTGTTTGTTAATGCGTTTTCTCTCATGTGGTTGGAATTGGAAGGGATTCAAAGCCTGGCTTAAGCACAATGTAAACTGGGCATAAGAAACCATATGGATGCAGCTATTTATTGCTGACAGGGTGTTGACCAAATTGTCACATACATTGACTGCCTTATTCAGAGGGTTGGGAAAAACCACTCCAGATGGCCTATATTCCAAAGTGGTGCCACTTTCCAGGATGACCATCGTGAGGTTTTACCAAATCCTAAAGGTTATCTGATTTTGAGGAACTGCCTCAGAAAACCTGAGCAAACCTGTAACAAGATGTAATGATCACAAAAAGGCATGGGGTTTATAACTGGCTCATGCAAATAGAGCATAGCCTCCAGATTTAAGGCTTTGTGGTTCTAGTTCAGAATATTAAACAGGAGGTCTATACTGGGTTCACTTGCTTCCGGCTAACTTAAACCCACTTCTGATCTCGCCTACTGTTCTTCTCTCATTATTCCGGCTGTTGCTATCTGTAGACAGCCCAATCCAGTACCTTTTCTCTCTTAAATAGTCAGTAGTTATCGGTAAGTTGTGTTAAAGGCATAGTAAGCTTTGAAGACTTTTTTCCTAATGTAGGAAAAATTTAAAGAATTTGAAAAGCTGCAAGATAAGTGACAGCTTATATATTAAAATTTTATTACCTCAAAGAACAGTCAATTAAAAAGGCGTCCAAAATAGATACTTACATAAAAAATTTAAATGCTCATCATAGAATGTATTATTCTTTAACAGCACCTGAATCAAAGTTAATATGATATCTTGTATCTGGTACATTGACATTTGAGTTCAGACTTCCTGTGTTTCTAGCATAAAATGATGAGAATGGAATGAAGAAATATAAAGGTATATCTTACCCTGGTAAAGAATGGCATGCACAGAATTCTACTTAAGAGTGAGGGGATGGTGTGGTTTCACTAAACTTAGAGTCTCAGAAACAAGGCAATTAAAGCAGGCGTGTTCAGAGGTGCATTTCTCCTACTCTCTGAGCATTTACCCTTCCCTTGTCAATGACACGAAGTGGTAGTATCTCATTTGGAAAATATTAATGAGTAATTTTTAAAAGAACCAGAAATAGTAAAAGAAAGAAAAAGTCATGGCAAGTGTTGTTCCACACATGTGAACTAAACAATTATATCTGCATTTTATATTTTATTTTAGTTGAAAAAAATCTTTTTTCTCTTTTTCTTTTTAGTACCCAGGTAGACTACATTTTCCAGGCTCCCTTGCAGTTAGATAGAGCCATGCACATGCATTTTAGCCATTGGGATGTGGGTGGAAGTAATGCATGACACACAGTTATCTCCCACAAAACTTCCTACGTGAGATCCTCCATGCACTTTGCCCATCTGCCTCAGAGAGAACTCAAATGACCTAGGGGAAGGCAGAGCCACAGGAGCTTGCATACCTTAGTCACTACTACAAGGACAGCTGCTAAGACAAAGAACATCGCCTTAAGATGGTTGCGTGAATTACGGTGCACTAAACTGGTGATATTTTTGATATAATTTTAATAGCAGTTAACCTACCCTCACTAACATAATCAATTATAAATAAATCAGACCCCTTTGAAATTCAGTAAGTGATAGCTTATAGCTCTTGAAAGTGTGTGTGTGAAATATAAATTACATGCCCTCCTAAATTGTATTTAATTGCATCCAATGACCTGAGCCCATACTACAGATGTACAGTTCTTATATAGGTAGCATGGGAACACCTGAGAATAGATGTGGTAGAAAGAAAAGGGCCTGTAAACTAAGAGAGGCATAATTCTCTCTTCCACATCTGTCTCCTTCCAGATGTTTAAATTCGAACGACTTTTTCTGAACCTCATCTCAAAATGGTGAAATACTATCCCTCTCAAAATGAGATAAACTGGCCCCTGCAATGTGCCTGGTATAAAGTAAGCACTCTGTATCAGGATTCTTATCAACCTAAGGTAACTTTTAGGATATTAGCATATTTCTGAATATATACTCAATTTTCTTCTTGAAACTCCTTTTCTATTTTTGTGAAAGCAATCGTTTTTATTAGTCAATATTATTTATATAGTATTTAGTGATAGTAGACACTCAGTATATATTTCCTGAATTAATAAAAGAAGTAAGTTAGGAAGGCAGGGAGGGTAGGACTTTGATTTAATCGCTTTGGCATTTAGCCTGAATATTGAGTTTTGAAAGCTCCCCAGATGACTTGACAATGTTGAGAACCAGTTATCTAAAGTCCTGATAGTCAAAATGTAATCCATAGCATCACCATCATCTCGAAGCTTGTAAGAAATGTAGAATCTTGGGCCCCATCTTGGACTTTACTGAATCCAAACCTGCATTTAACAAGATGCCTAGTATATTTGTATAAACATTAAAGGTTGAGGGGTTGTAGTCATATCAAATGCAATTCAGTTAGTCTTTAAATACCATGATGTCAAATTCAGTGAAGAGACAATTGCAACATTATTTCAGTTGGCAGTCCAATGCAAAAGTCATACAAAGCAGCAGGTGATGCTGGAAAATTTGTTCATAAAAGTGATTGCATGTCGTGCATCTAAAGCATCAATAGAATATAAAGATTCTCTTTTGGTGTGGACTCATGTTAGCATTCCAGCAACCCCATGAAGTAAGTATTGTTCTCTCCATATTACAGATGTAAAAACAAACATTTACAGAAATTACACAATTTGACCACATTAGGGAATTTGAAAATGGAGTATCCTGGACACTGGGCTGGTTCAGTACGGCAGTTGGAAATACTGTTACTTGAAAGCTACAAGGCCACCAAAATTCACCCCACATATCTCAGGTCTCAGGACTGTTTGCCAGTGAAAGACATTTAGGAATGAACATGGGAGCTCAGCTGCACAGCCAGATAGCTCAATCAGGTGACCATACATAATCATAAGTCTAACTCAAATTAAGAAAAGGAAAACCCAGCTATCAGTGAGGGGCAGCATAAGCAGTCCTAGGAAGAGAGGTCACCTAGGACATGGGCCTGAAAGCAAGTGTTACAAAGAGAAATGTAAGCTATTCCATAATGGAAGAAATTCGGGAGTTCCCAAACTCTTACACTCTCATTGTAGGGAAAAATCTTAATCTATATTTTTCAAGCAAATGTGGAGGGGATGTCTTTTCTAGATTTTGAAAACTGTGTCTTTTCTGGCTTGGATATGCAGACACTCTGTAAATTGCAAGGGTTTGACATTAATCTGGAGTTACAATTTCAGCAGGAGGCACACTAGTTAACTAGGCAGCTTGCGAATTGATAGATGATGGTTTGGCACAGTATAGAGTCTTGTAATCATTAAGCAATAGTCAGAAATTGTATAAATTTGCTACTCCCAAATAAAAATAATATGAAATGCTGCAAAACCTGAGGTGCTCAATGGGATTTACACAGTAATTGATACGTTTTTCTCTTGAATTGCCTTGAAATTTTACCAGTGTTCCCAAAAGAAAAAGAACAAACTATGCAGTGACTTTAGTAGTTTTCATTGGGTCTTCTGTCAGCAGCCCCCTCTATAAAAGAAATGCTGTCTCTTTACCATTTGCACTCCAACTGGGACTCGATTTAGGTAATTAATTAGAAAATGCCCTACTTTGAAATACCTATGTATCTGCTGTTTGATTTTCTGTGTTATGTTTGAGCCATGACCTAAATGTATGTATTAGGTACAAAAGCCAGAGGGAATTGTCAGGGTACTTGGGTGTGTCTCTGTCACAACAGAGCTAAGAACACTACATATTAAAGATGAAGTTATAACCATAGTATCCTGGGCCTTAGTTATAGAGAAGTGGGACTAGATTAGAAGACTGGAAGAAAATGAGCCTCACAGAACATATTGGCTTCTTCTCACAAACTTAATTGAGCACAAAAAATACATATGTACATATATATATACACACACACACATACACATATATATACACACACATATATACATATATATATGAAAATTATACTCCTGAGTAAAGCCAAACCCACAGCAGGTCGCTTCTGTATCATTTAGAGACATATTCAGTTGGTTCAGTGGCCCAAGTGGGTGTGAAATCTGCCAGAGCTGAAAGGCAGTTCTTTCTACTGCTTCTTAGAGGGGTCATATCACTGCCTAGAAACAACCTGCACTAGCATGCTGGCCTCCATTTGTAAAGGTCAGATAAGAACCTTGTACATTTTGGGTCCTTCTGATCTACAAGCTTCCATCTATTGACAGATATTAAAGAAGTCTAATGATCCGCCAGAGAAGCATCAGGAACTTGCATGCTCAGAGGGAGAGGGCACTTCTCCCTTCCTATATGCATTCATCAGCAGGAGTCTCGCAAGAACCCCAGAACTCCCGGCAAGACTTCCAACCTTCCCCCAAACAACACTGATAGATATTCCACTTTGATATGCCTTGGAACCATCAGGACTTATTTTATCATATTCTTTATTTATGTTTTTGTCAGTCACAGAAACCCAGGTGTCCCAGGTCATCCTTCACTGTCTAATTTCCATAATTTTTGTATATTCCCTTCCTGATTCCTGAAACCCTTCTATTATACTCTCTGGAATTTAAAGGGAAAAATTCATCAGCAAAATATCCTATACTCTCAAATCCTTCAACTGCTCACTTCTCTATCTGGCTCTAAATGAAAATGGGGCCTCCCTTAAAGACAAGACTTCCTGGAGCAGTAGTTCTCCCAGTACACAGCTGGAGATCTGAGAACCGACAGACTGCCTCCTCAAGTGGGTCCCTGGCCCCTGACCACCGAGCAGCCTAACTGGGAGGCACCTCCCAGTAAGGGCAGACTGACACCTCAGACGGCCGGGTACTCCTCTGAGACAAAACTTCCAGAGGAACGATCAGACAGCAGCATTTGCGGTTGACGAAAATCCGCTGTTCTGCAGCAACCGCCGTGGATACCCAGGCAAACAGGGTCTGCAGTGGACCTCTAGCAAACTCCAACAGACCTGCAGCTGAGGGTCCCATCTGTTAGAAGGAAAACTAACAAACAGAAAGGACATCCACAACAAAAACCCATCTGTACATCACCATCATCAAAGACCAAAAGTAGATAAAACCACAAAGATGGGAAAAAACAGAGCAGAAAAACTGGAAAATCTGAAAGACAGAGCGCCTCTCCTCCTTCAAAGGAACGCAGCTCCTCACCAGCAACGGAACAAAGCTGGACAGAAAATGACTTTGAGGAGCTGAGAGAAGAAGGCTTCAGATGATCAAAGTACTCCGAGCCACAGGAGGAAATTCAAACCAAAGGCAAAGAAGTTAAAAACTTTGAAAAAAATTTAGACGAATGTATAACTAGAATAACCAATACAGAGAAGTGCTTAAAGGAGCTGATGGAGCTAAAAGCCAAGGCTTAAGAACTACGTGAAGAATGCAGAAGCCTCATGAGCCGATGCGATCAACTGGAAGAAAGGGTATCAGTGATAGAAGATGAAATGAATGAAATGAAGCAAGAAGAGAAGTTTAGAGAAAAAAGAATAAAAAGAAATGAACAAAGCCTCCAAGAAATATAGGACTAGTGAAAAGACCAAATCTACTTCTGATTGGTGTACCTGAAAGTGACGGGGAGAATGGAACCAAGTTGGAAAACACTCTGCAAGATATTATGCAGGAGAACTTCCCCAATCTAGCAAGGCAGGTCAACATTCAGATTTACGAAATACAGAAAACACCACAAAGATACTCCTCGAGAAGAGCAACTCCAAGACACATAATTGTCAGATTCACCAAAGTTGAAATGAAGGAAAAAATGTTAAGGGCAGCCAGAGAGAAAGGTCAGGTTACCCAGAAAGGGAAGCCCATCAGACTAACGGCTGATCTCTCAGCAGAAACTCTACAAGCCAGAAGAGAGTGGGGGCCAATATTCAACATCCTTAAAAGAATTTTCAACCCAGAATTTCATATCCAGCCAAACTAAGCTTCATTAAGTGAAGGAGACAAGCAAATGCTGAGACATTTTGCCACCACCAGGCCTGCCCTAAAAGAGCTCCTGAAGGAAGCACTAAACATGGAAAGGAACAACTGGAACCAGCCACTGCAAAATCATGCCAAATTGTAAAGACCATCGAGGCTAGGAAGAAACTACATCAACTAACGAGCAAAATAACCAGCTAACATCATAATGACAGGATCAAATTCACACATAACAATATTAACTTTAAATGTAAATGGACTAAATGCTCCAATTAAAAGACACAGACTGGCAAATTGGATAAACAGTCAAGACCCATCAGTGTGTTGTATTCAGGAAACCCACCTCACGTGCAGAGACACACATAGGCTCAAAACAAAAGGATGGAGGAAGATCTACCAAGCAAATGGAAAACAAAAAAAGGCAGGGGTTGCAATCCTAGTCTCTGATAAAACAGACTTTAAACCAACAAAGATCAAAAGAGTCAAAGAATGCCATTACATAATGGTAAAGGGATCAATTCAACAAGAAGAGCTAACGATCCTAAATATATATGCACCCAATACAGGAGCACCCAGATTCATAAAGCAAGTCCTGAGTGACCTACAAAGAGACTTAGACTCCCACACAATAATAATGGGAGACTTTAACACCCCACTGTCAACATTAGACAGATCAATGAGACAGAAAGTTAACAAGGATACTCAGGAATTGAACTCGGCTCTGCACCAAGCAGACCTAATAGACATCTACAGAACTCTCCACCCAAATCAACAGAATATACATTTTTTTCAGCACCACACCACACCTATTCCAAAATTGACCACATACTTGGAAGTAAAGCTCTCCTCAGCAAATGTAAAAGAACAGAAATTATAACAAACTGTCTCTCAGACCACAGTGCAATCAAACTAGAACTCAGGATTAAGAAACTCACTCAAAACCACTCAACTACATGGAAACTGAACAACCTGCTCCTGAATGACTACTGGGAACATAACGAAATGAAGGCAGAAATAAAGATGTTCTTTGAAACCAACGAGAACAAAGACACAACATACCAGAATCTCTGAGACACATTGAAAGCAGTGTCTAGAGGGAAATTTATAGCACTAAATGCCCACAAGGGAAAGCACGAAAGATCCAAAATTGGCACCCTAACATCACAATTAAAAGAACTAGAAAAGCAAGAGCAAACACATTCAAAAGCTAGCAGAAGGCAAAAAATGACTAAAATCAGAGCAGAACTGAAGGCAGTAGAGACACAAAAAACCCTTCAAAAAATTAATGAATCCAGGAGCTGGTTTTTTGAAAGGATCAACAAAACTGATAGACTGCTAGCAAGACTAATAAAGAAGAAAAGAGAGAAGAATCAAATAGATGCAGTAAAAAATGATAAAGGGGATATCACCACCGATCCCACAGAAATACAAACTACCATCAGAGAATACTACAAACACCTCTACGCAAATAAACTAGAAAATCTAGAAGAAATGGGTAAATTCCTCGACACAGATGCCCTCCCAAGACTAAACCAGGAAGAAGTTGAATCTCTGAATAGACCAATAACAGGCTCTGAAATTGTGGCAATAATCAATAGCTTACCAACCAAAAAGAGTCCAGGACCAGATGGATTCACAGCCGAATTCTACTTGAGGTACAAGGAGGAACTGGTACCATTCCCGCTGAAACTATTCCAATTGATAGAAAAAGAGGGAATCCTCCCGAACTCATTTTATGAGGCCAGCATCATCCTGATATCAAAGCCGGGCAGAGACACAACCAAAAAAGAGAATGTTAGACCAATATCCTTGATGAACATTGATGCAAAAATCCTCAATAAAATACTGGCAAACCGAATCCAGCAGCACATCAAAAAGCTTATCCACCATGATCAAGTGGGCTTCATCACTGGGATGCAAGTCTGGTTCAATATACACAAATCAATAAATGTAATCCAGCATATAAACAGAACCAAAGACAAAAACCACATGATTATCTCAAGAGATGCAGAAAAGGCCTTTGACAAAATTGAACAACCCTTCATGCTAAAAACTCTCAATAAATTAGGTATTGATGGGATGTATCTCAAAATAATAAGAGCTATCTATGACAAACCCACAGCCAATATCATACTGAATGGGCAAAAACTGGAAGCATTCCCTTTGAAAACTGGCACAAGACAGGGATGCCCTCTCTCACCACTCCTATTCAACATAGTGTTGGAAGTTCTGGCCAGGACAATTAGGCAGGAGAAGGAAATTAAGGGTATTCAATTAGGAAAAGAGGAAGTCAAATTGTCCCTGTTTGCAGATGACATGATTGTATATCTAGAAAACCCCATTGTCTCAGCCCAAAATCTCCTTAAGCTGATAAGCAACTTCAGCAAAGTCTCAGGATACAAAATCAATGTGCAAAAATCACAAGCATTCTTATACACCAATAACAGACAAACAGAGAGCCAAATCATGAGTGAACTCCCATTCACAATTGCTTCAAAGAGAATAAAATACCTAGGAATCCAACTTACAAGGGATGTGAAGGACCTCTTCAAGGAGAACTACAAACCACTGCTCAGTGAAATAAAAGAGGATACAAAGAAATGGAAGAACATTCCATGCTCATGGTTAGGAAGAATCAATATCGTGAAAATGGCCATATTGCCCAAGGGAATTTATAGATTCAATGCCATCCCCATCAAGCTACCAATGACTTTCTTCACAGAATTGGAAAAAACTTTAAAGTTCATATGGAACCAAAAAAGAGCCCGCGTCGCCAAGTCAATCCTAAGCCAAAAGAACAAAGCTGGAGGCATCACGCTACCTGACTTCAAACTATACTACAAGGCTACAGTAACCAAAACAGCATGGTACTGGTACCAAAACAGAGATATGGACCAATGGAACAGAACAGAGCCCTCAGAAATAATGCCACATATCTACAACTATCTGATCTTTGACAAACATGAGAAAAACAAGAAATGGGGAAACGATTCCCTATTTAATAAATGGTGCTGGGAAAACTGGCTAGCCATATGTAGAAAGCTGAAATCGGATCCCTTCCTTACACCTTATACAAAAATTAACTCAAGATGCATTAAAGACTTAAACGTTAGACCTAAAACCATAAAAATCCTAGAAGAAAACTTAGGCAATACCATTCAGGACATAGGCATGGGCAAGGACTTCAAGTCTAAAACACCAAAAGCAATGGCAACTAAAGCAAAAACTGACAAATGGGATCTAATTAAACTAAAGAGCTTCTGCACAGCAAAAGAAACTACCATCAGAGTGAACAGGCAACCTACAGAATGGGAGACAATTTTCACAACCTACTCATCTGACAAAGGGCTAATATTCAGAATCTACAATGAACTCAAACAAATTTACAAGAAAAAAACAAACAACCCCATCTAAAAGTGGGCAAAGCACATGAACAGACACTTCTCAAAAGAAGACATTTATGCAGCCAAAAAACACATTAAAAAATGCTCACCATCACTGGCCATCAGAGAAATGAAAATCAAAACCACAGTGAGATACCATCTCACACCAGTTAGAATGCCAGTCATTAAAATGTCAGGAAACAACAAGTGCTGGAGAGGATGTGGAGAAATAGGAACACTTTTACACTGTTGGTGGGACTGTAAACTAGTTCAACCATTGTGGAAGTCAGTGTGGGGATTCCTCAGGGATCTAGAACTAGAAATACCATTTGACCCAGCCATCCCATTACTGGGTATATACCCAAAGGACTATAAATCATGCTGCTATAAAGACACATGCACACGTATGTTTATTGCGGCACTATTCACAATAGCAAAGACTTGGAACCAACCCAAATGTCCAACAGTGGTAGACTGGATTAAGAAAATGTGGCACATATACACCATGGAATACTATGCAGCCATAAAAAATGATGATTTCATGTCCTTTGTAGGGACATGGATGAAGATGGAAATCATCATTCTCAGTAAACTATCTCAAGGACAAAAAACCAAACACCGCATGTTCTCACTCATAGGTGGGAATTGAACAATGAGATCACATGGACACAGGAAGGGGAACATCACACTCTGGGGACTGTTGTGGGGTCGGGGGAGGGAGGAGGGATAGCATTAGGAGATATACCTAATGCTAAATGACGAGTTAATGGGTGCAGCACACCAGCATGGCACATGTATACATATGTAACTAACCTGCACATTGTGCACATGTACCCTAAAACTTAAATATAATAATAATAAAATAAAATAAAATAAAATAAAGTGCTATTAAAATGCCTTAAATATTAAAAAAAAAAAAAAAAAAAAACGAAGACAACACTTCCTTTGTGGTCCCCTCAAGTGAGGGCTTTTTCTCTTCCTCAAGCACTTTACTGCTGGGCTTGGAGGTAAGTTAACAGTCCTCCTTGCCTCCCATTCCTATTGCAAACAATTCAGACTCTTCTCCATGCACACCTCGACCCCTAGCTTTGCATCTCATTTCATCTTCATGAGCCCCACTACCCTCCTTGTTGCCCTCAGTGATCAACCTTTCAAGCACTTCTCCTTGTTTCTTAAAGACTCACCGTCACTCTCTCCAAGACAACGCTGTTTTAATTCTTGGTGATTTTAATGTCCATGCAGCTATTTCTTCTAATACCATAGTCTCTCAATTCCTTGAATTCCTCTCTCTAGTGATCTTTTCTTCCATTCCCTGAGCCACTTACTCTATGGTTATTCCTTAGACTTGTTATGATTTTTCTAGTTTTCTCCCTGACATGATGGAATTTCAGAAATACCTTACCCACATAGGTATCTACAATCCATTGATCCTCCCACCTTTTCACTCTTTCTCTCCCCTTTCATACCCTTGCTTCCCTCCTTCTCTGGTTGGTTTTTCACGATCAGTTGTAATCATTCTTTTCTATGCACTGTCAACTCCTTTGTCTCTCTCTTGCTTTGTCCCAGTAAACAACCACATTCTTGATTTAATCCAACTTTCAATATACTTCACAGCTTTCTCCTTCACAGCTGACCCATATTCTACGTGTTGTCAAATGAGATTTCCTTTTATCAGCCATGTAAGCATTATTTGGCACATTTGAGCATTACTTTCTTACTTACTTGGCTTCAGAAATCACACTCTCCTGGTTTTCTACCTTATTGGCCACTCGCTTTGTTTCTTTTCAGCTTCTACCTCATCTTCCCATCCTTATATTTTTGGAGAGCTTCAGGACTTGGTGCTTGGATATTTTTTCTTTCAAGTCTATACTCACTCACTTATTGATCTTATCTGCTCTCACAGTTATAAATACTACTTAGATTTGTATACTTTGCAAATTTCTCTCACTAGTCCAGACCTCTCCTCTTAGAGTCCAGAATCATATGTCCCACTATTCTGCTAACTATTCAGCATCTTTACTTAAATATCTAAGACAGTGGGATCTTACTACAGATTTTTCTATTTATCCCAACTCTTACTATTTAACCTTCGGTCACACAAATCTAGGAACGGAACGAATTCAAACAGGGAAAGATAATTCTACATCCAAATTCAACTCCTGATCTTCTTTCCAAAACATACTACTCTTACTGTCTTTCTTATACCTGAAAATGATAATACAAGCTTTCCAGTTTCCTCGGGCCAAGAAACAAAAAGACCTCGGACCCATCTTTGTGTCCTCTCTACTCTGTCAGTATATCATGTTAGTTCCACTTTAAATTTAAATTCAGAATCAACTCCGTCTACCAATCTCACCACCGCCTTCCTTGTCAAAGCTACCATGTTCTCCCTCCTAACCAGTCTTCTGCCTTTACCCCTGCTGCCTTCAGTCTCTTCTCAGCATAGCAATCTGAGCAATCCTGCTAGTCAGATGGTCTCTAATGCGCTTACAAAATGCAGTGGCTTTCCAGTTCATACTGGCTAAAAATCAAAAGCACTAGCATGCCCCACAAGACTTTCCCCTATGGCCTCATCCCTTAGGACCCCTCCCCATGCTCACTCTGTCCCAGCTGCACTGGCTTTCTTTCTATTCTGTTCTTTAGACATGTCAATCCTGCTCTTACTTCAGAGCCCCTTTCCTTGATGTTGTTTCTGCCTAGTATACTTTCCCTTGGACTCTGCATGTCTTCCTTCCTTGCGTGTATCAGGTCTTTCTTAAAATAGCATCTTGTATCTGTAGTCTTGTATGACCACTGACCAAAATGAAACAACTCCAGATGCACACACTATCCTCCCTGCTCTTTCCTGCTTTAGCTTTCTCCATGTGATATGTAACACATTTTGCTTATGTCTTCAGTTATTATCTATTTCTTTCCCAGAATGTAAACTCCTTGAAGACAGGAATTTTTCTATGCTTTTTTAAAATTGCTAAGTACCCAGTGTCTGTAACAGTGCTTGACACATTTTAGGCACTCAATAAATAAATACTGAATGAATAAACAGACCTGTTACTCGTAAACAAAATCGCTGACATCACTGGGGCCTTATGTTTGGGTTTTGAGCCGTGACATTCTTCCTGCACCGGCACTTGGTGGAAATCCCTACTGTGACAGCACTTATGCCCTTTCTCTCTCTCTGTTTCCCCCACCCTCTTTACATTCCAATTTTCAATACTTCTTTGTCTGCATCTACTCTGTAGTGACTAGAAACTCATGCATGTCTACCCAGTGTCTTCATGAGCACACCTGGCCATAGCTTATTGCACAAAGGTCTGTGGGGACAGTACTTAAGCAGCGGTCTGGAAGAGTTTCCTAAGGCTGCATAACAAAGTGCTACAAACTGAGTGGCTTAAGCAACAGAAATTTATTATTTCACAGTTCTGGAGGCTAGAAGTCCAAGATTAAGGTGAGAGAAGGGTTAACGCCTTCCAAGAGCTGTGAGGAAAAATCTGTTCTATGCCTTGTCCCCCAGAAGTTGACTTCACCAGAGGGTGATTTTTTGCTAATCTTTGGCATTCCTTGGCTTATAGATGCATCACATTGATCACTGACTTCATCTTCACATGGCCATCTCCCTGTGTGTCTATCTTTCTCCAAGTTTCTCTTTTTTACAAGGACATCAGTCAAATTGGATCAGGGCCCACCGAGTGACCTCATTTTAACTTGCTAACCTCTGTCAAGACCTTATCATTAAATGAGGTCACATTCTAAAGTACTGAGGGTTAGGACTTCAATGATGATTTTTGAGAAGACACAATGCAACCCATAAAAACTTTTATATCCCTGCTTGGAATAGCACACAGCCGGAGAGGACAAGTGTTTTATTCTCTTGAAGATCTCAGAAAAAGCAAATAACTAAATGATAAGAATGAATTCCGTGAGTTTAGACTCCCTGATGGTCTCACCTACAGTTCCAACAATGTTACAAAACCCTCCTGAAAAAAGCCTTAATTAGGACACATAATATTAAAGATAATTAGGACACATAATAATCAGTAAGGAACTCAGATCAAAATAGTACAATTTCATGGATTTCATGTTATAATTAATTCATCATAGTGGACGGAATTTACATATAGAAAAGTAATTGAAATATTTCAATCCAATTTAACACAGTTTCAAGAGAAGTCTTGGGAGACAAAGCAACAGATGTCAGCCTGACCAGGCTGATAGAAGTGAAAGCACCCAGGGGGTATCTCTGGAATGATGGGTAATGAATGAAATGCTTATCTTGTCCAAAGGCACAGTCTTTAATTCCTTCCAACAAATCCAAATATAGGGCTTACTATTTTCAAGGCTGAAAATATATAATAGCTGCCACAACTTCTGAAGTGGTAGAGGAATGACTTCTTGGGGCTGGGAGCATGTTTCAGCAAAAGCCTAAATATAACAGTGAGAATAAAATGATGCTCACATAAGGTGAACAGATTTCTATAGTAGAGAATAATGAATTCTGATTTTTTATGGTTAGACAATAATGCACACATCTTTATTGACTTAGCACTAATAATGTGTTTATTATGCCTTCTATGTGTTAGACACATTTCAGATTAATAAGACACAATTCCTGACCTCAAACTGCTCACAATCTAATGAGATAGTTAAGAAAATTAATCCTTTCGATACAATGAAATAAGTGACCTAAAGAGCATATTGGACGAGTACAGAACAAAACAACTTACTTGTCTTAGCCTGGAAAGATTAGGAAATACATCAAAAATGCAGATCTCAGCTGAGTCATTGAGGAACATTCACTTGGCAAAGAGGGGTTGGCAGGTGTTTCAGGTGTCAGGAGAAGTAAAGGGAGAGGCAGGAAGGCATGAGGTAGCACAGTGGGCACAAAGCACAGGAAGTAATTCAGTATGGCTGGAACATATTTTTATAAAGGAGAAAGAACATAATCTTTTCTTTTAAAGACAAAAAATAAAAGGTGAAGAACAAGCAGGAAGAATGGTAAAATGGAACAGCCTGCTACCTGAAGGAGAGGGTGTTTAATGATATTGAGTATCTCAGAAAGGCAAGTATCAATGATGAAGAAGAGCCCAGAGTTTGACACAGAAGGTCATTGAAAATCTTGGTAAATAAAGACTTTCTCAAAAAAAAATCTTAGATAATTAAATGTCAGTAGCCTTATGTGCTGATATTTAATTGATGTCTATGATAGTAAAATAATAAAAAGTTACTGTCTTCTTGAAGAGCTTAGGTTCTAATATGAATGAAGTAAAACCATGGGAAATATTTTAAAAAGTGATGCAAACATCTACAAGAAAAAGAAAGCTTGTTGGGAATAAGTTTGCATTTTAATTTTTATTTTCTGTAGTTCTCTCTAGATTATTTTATGTATTATAAAGCAACAGGGAAAGAGGAAAACTGAAGAGAGATAGATTATGATGTGAATTTATGAAGCCGTGGTAATGGACTGTTTGTGTCATCAGATAGAAATTTCCAACAGGTATTTCAAGCCATTTCTTCTCATCTGTCATCCATTTTCCATTCTTATTTTCTCTTTTCCTTAATCTTTTCACCCTGGGATTTTCCTCTCTTCTGACAGCTTCATCAATAAAAGAATATTGCTGGATTAGTGAGAAACATAATAGAATATTTTAGATGGGGTAAGACTGAGGATTCCACTGTACACGCAAGGCAGATACAGGTGGTCTGAGCCAACTAAGACCTTACAAACTGTACATTTTAGTGCAGTACATTTTTTGCAAATCAGTGACAAAATCTTCCATAGTGGGTTTTTCTAGGTTTTGAAATGTACATGTAACGATTCATCTCCATGAACATCAATGAGCTTTACAATGTTGAGGGCATTGTGAAAGGTGGTTAAAAAAATGAAGCTCCATAAGATGCAGTACTGTTCTGAAGATGCTTACAGACATGTATAGAAATGTGGCTTTTACATCAATAGTAGTTCAGATTGAAACAATTTCCAAAGTTAAACTTCTGTTAAAATGATAACACATACCAAGCCAACTTAGATTTCATTTCATGGAATTGCTATCCCAAAGGGCTGTGAAGCCCTTTTTGCCATTACACCACCACACTAGGTTACCCTTTGTCCACATTCTCCCTTCACCCACTTGGTACAGACCCAGACCCGTAACCTCCACTGAATTCTGGCTGCTTATTTGTTGCTAGAATTTCTTTGTGTTAGGGTTTGAGGGTGGGAGAAGCATGTCTTAACGAGTTCTCTCTTCTTTTTTTACCACCACATACTGAGGCTGTCACCTTTAATTTCTATGTTAAACTTCCAAGTCTTTCTTGGTGATAAAAGAAAACAGTCGGCAGCAGTCTAGCTTTAATCTTAGTTCAGGGCTCTAGAAACCCCAAATTCACTGTTGTCATCTATGTAAACATTGCCTTTTCCTAGATGGAGATGGGGGAAGCAAGCAGTACACAGATAGAGGACATGTTAGGTCAAAAAAAAAAAAAGAATAAAAAACAGGATAACCTGATTTTACCCAGATTACTCCCAGCTGACTATCGTTGTCCCAATGTAATTATATAATAGCATTCCTTTCAGTCTCCAAAGTGTCCCATTCTGGACAATAAATTATATAATCACTGCAGTTAAAGTTCTATTCCAGGTCCAACAAATTGCCAGTGATTAAGTGAGGTTCTCATAAATATGGGAAGAAAGTAGGATCTATTTTCAATGAAAATAGAATAAATATTATGAATAACTTTTCTTCTGGTGAGTTTTTAAATTGCTGATTTACTTTTTAACATCTTAGTATAAAAATGTTAAATATGCATATGAGTAAACAGAATATTATAGTGGACCCGTGTATTTATATGCAGCTTCAATAATTATTAACTTATGGTTAAGCATATTTATTCTATAACACTTCTCATTCTTCCACATTATTTTAATTTATTATACTTTAAGTACTAGGATACATGTATAGAATGCACAGGTTTGTTACATAGGTATATACATGCCATGGTGGTTTCCTGCACCCATCAACCTGTCATCTACATTAGATATTTCTCCTAATGCTATCCCTCCCCTAACCCCCCACCCCCCAACAGGCCCTGGCGTGTGATGTTCCCCTCCCTGTGTCCATGTGTTCTCATTGCTCAACTCCCACTTATGAGTGAGAACATGTGGTGTTTGGTTTTCTGTTCCTGTGTTAATTTGCTGAGAATGATGGTTTCCAGCTTCGTCCATGTCCCTGTGAAGGACATAAACTCATCCTTTTATGTGGCTGCATAGTATTCCATGGTGTATATGTGTCACGTTTTCTTTATCCAGTCTATCATTGATGGGCATTTGGGTTGGTTCCAAGTTCCACATTATTTTTTAAATAAACTTTATTTTTAGAACAGTTGCAAAGATAATACAGAGAGCTCTTACAGATGCCACACCAGGTTTCTCCTGTTTTTCATATTTTACATTAGTATGATAGTTTTATTACAATTGATGCCTTTTTAGTAAGTAAATTCCACAATTTATTCAACATTTTTTAGTTTTACATATGTTTTGTTGTTGTTGTTCCAGAATCCCACCCAGGATACCACATTACATGTAATTGTCCTGTCTCTTCAGGCTCCTCTTGGCTGTGACATTTACACAGACTTTCTCGGTTGTTGATAACCTTGGCAGTTTTAAGGAGTACTAGACAGGTATTTGGTAGAACATCTCTCTACAAATCTCTATGGAATTTGCCTGGTGTGTTTCTCTTGATTAAACTGAGGTTGTGAGCTTAGGTGGAAACATCAAAGGGTAAACTGTCATCTTTCCGGCATCATATTAAAAGAACATACTATCAAAATGACTTATCACTGATGATATTGACCTTTATCACTGGCTGAAGTTGTGCTTGTCTGAATTTTTCACTATAAAGTTACTCTTTTTTTCTCTTTACATACAGTACTCTTTGGAATGAAGCCATTATGCACATCCTACTCTTTAAGTAGTGGGGAATTATGTTCTACCTCCTTGAAGGCAATGTATCTAAATAAATTATTTGGAGTTCTGCTGCACAAGAGATATGCAATTATTTATTTATATCAATATGGGTCAACAGGTATTTATTTTATATTTTAGGTTATAATACAATACTACCTCTTTTTGTTGCACAAATTGTTACAGCTTTGGCCATTGGGAGGTCTTTCAACTTGTTCCTGTGTTCTTTGACAAATGCCTATCATTTTTTTTTCTTCTTTTTTGAGACCAGGTCTTGCTCTGCAATCCAGGCTGAAGTGCAGTGATGGGATCACAGCTCACTGCAGCCTCAATCTCCCAGGCTCAAGTGATCCTCCCACCTCAGCCTCCTGAGTAGCTGGGACCACAGGTGCATGCCACCATGCCTGGCTAATTTACTTTATTTTTTGTTGCTACAGGGTCTCTCTATGTTACCCAGGCTGGTTTCAAATGCCTGGGCTCAAGCAATCCTCCTGCCTTGGCCTTCCAAACTGGTGGGATTACAGGTGTTAAGTCAAGAGGCCCAGCCATTTTTTTTTAGGCTCTCTCTAATGGAAGATCAAGAAAATGTAAGTGTTTGTATTACCCAGTGTACATATGCATATCTATAAAAATTTCTAGATGTAACTATTTTTATCTATATTAAGTTAAATGTGAGTCCATACTGATGTCACTAATTCTAATCCATTACTATATGGATTATTATAGACTTTTCCCCTTACTTGTTTGTTATTCTTACTTTAACAATGAGAAGACTGGCTCCTACCATTTGCCATTCATTTACTTAATTGCTTAGTTCAAATATATGTAAAACAATATTAAGATTGTTAACTCATACCTCCATGGGAAAAAACTTTATCAACTGAAATACAATGCTTATGTGCAGTTTCTTTTGCCTTTTTATTCTTACGAACTCTACTCATTTTAAAGTTATTTAGGTCAGCACCTTTTTCCTCAACCCCTTTCAATGAGGTTGTTTCATGCACCTATGACACAGTTAGATTATTTTGTCATGGTGCATTCCATCCTGAGCTTCACTGACCTCCTAATTTTTCTTTAAATTTTCAAACATTAAGGTTCTGTCCTCATACTGTAAAGTTTTATGGGTTTTCAAGTGTGCATAAAGTGTCATTAAGTGTCATACAGAACAGTTTCACTACCCTAAAAACAATCCCCTGTGCTTCAACTATTCAACTCTCTACACCTATAACCAAACCCCTGGCAATTACTAATCATTCTACTGTCTGTATGTCCCTTTTAGAATATCATACAATTAAAATTATACAATATATAGCCTTTTCAGAACAGCTTTTTCACTTAGCAATCTGCATTTAAGGTTCTATCTTTCCATAGCTTGATGGCTCATTTCTTTTTATCACTGATTAATATTCTATTATATGAATGTACCAAGGTTTGTTTACTCATTTGCTTATTAAAGTCCATCTTCATTAATTCTTATTTTTTAATGATGACTAAAGCTGCTATAAACTTAACATGCAGTTTTTGGCATGGACATTAAATTTTCAAGTCAGTTGGGATAATGCCTATGGCACAATGCTGTATAATGGTAAGGTAAGACTATTTTTAGCTTTATAAAAAAACTGCCAAACTCTTCTAAAGTGACTGTGGCATTTTGCACTCTCAAGAGGAAATAAGTAAGATTTCAGTTGCTCTTTGCTCCTCCTCATTCTCACCAGAACTGGGTTTGTGAGGATTTTTTTTTTTTAGCAATTCTAAGAGGTATTTAGCAGTATTTCCTTGTTTTAATTTATAATTCCCTAATGATGTATGATGTTGTCATCTTTTTATATTCTAATTTGTCATCTCTGTATCTTCTTTGGTGAGTTGCCTGGTCATATGTTTTATCCTTTGTCTATTTTGTATTGGGTCTTCTTCTTCTTCTTCTTCTTTTTCTTTTCTTCTCCTTCTTGTTATCCTTCCCTCCTCCTACTCCTCCTCTTCCTCCTCCTCCTCCTTCCTCTTACTTACTGAAATTATAGTAAGTTTTGGAATTGGATAGAATTTCTCCAACTTTTTCTTCTTCTACAATATTATATTGGATATTCTAGGTTCTTGGCCTTTCTATATAAATTTTAGAATGAATTTGTCAATATTGAAAAGATAGCTTTTTGAGATTTAGTTGAAATCTATAGATTTGAGATTTATGTTGAATCTATAGAGCAAATTGGGAAGAAGAAACATCTTTACAACACCGAGTTTTCTAATCCATGAACATGGAATATCACTCCATTCAATTAGAGCTCTTTGATTTTCCACAGTTTCGTATTAATAGCTTTTAGCATATAAATTATGTACATATTTTGTTAGATTTATGCCCAAATATTCCATTTTTGGGTGTTATTGCAAATGGCATTGTTATGTTTATTGCTGGTATGTAGAAAAACATAGTATCCTAGTATCCTGCATCCTTATTAATTCCAGTATATTTTGTTGTCATTGTTAATTGGGATTTTATCACACTCTTTGTGAACAAAGACTATTATATTTCTTTCTTTTTCTTGTTTTATTGCATTAGCTACCACTTCCATGATAGTATTGAATAGGTGTGGTAAAGGGGACATCCTCATCTTATCTTGATCTTAGATGGAAAATGTCCAGTTTCTTACCATTAACTAGTATCTGTAGCTCTCATGTTATTTATAACTGATACTTTAAAAATATTTGAGAACACCTAAGGTTGTTGCTATTTTTCACTTCTGATATATTCCCCCTTTTGTTGCTACCAATAAGCTGCTTATTATCTTCCAAAGAGCTGAGTTCATTTTAAAGATAGGCTAGGATAGGAAAGAATGCAAGGATTGTCTGTTCTGATGAACAGTAAAAGATAAATGAAATCTTAATCAGAAGCAATAAGTTGAAGCTCATAAGCCACTCCTTGGAGCCATATTAAAAAACAAGAGAAGATCTAAACCCCGTTTCTACTAAAAATACAAAAATTAGCTGGGCATGGTGGCACATGCCTGTAGTCCCAGCTACTTGGGAGGCTGAGGCAGGAGAATCACTTGAACCCAGGAGGTGGAGGTTGCAGTGAGCGGAGATCATGCCGCTGCACTCACTCCAGCCTGTCAACAGAGCGAGACTCCGTGTCAAATTAAAAAAAAAAAAAAGAAGAAGAAGATCTAAGTTTCTAAATTTTGTTCCTGGGTTGGGAAGTGTCTTTCTAGAAATACCTATTTTTATCTGCTCCCCTTGGAGTTTAAAGAATTTGATCAGCATGTAGAGAAGGGGAAAGATGAGAAAAGGCGATTTCAAGTTCATAACCTGAAGGATTTGTTTCTTCTATTCCAAATTGGAATTCTGAATGAATTCTATTATAGTAACATATCTATATCTGGTACCTATTTTTCTCTAGAATTCTTGGTCAGATACCATGTTGTACTTCACATATTATGCATTCATTTATTAAACATCCATTGAGTGTGGTCTCTGTGGCATTGAAAACCCACCTAGTACATAATTTATCCCTATGCATGAACATGCTCTGAATTCAAAACAGCTGATTTCCACATGCAGCATTAGATCCCAACTATTTGAACCAGTTGAGTCCCAGTAGCAGAGATTTCCTTTTGCAGGGACAAGGCAAAATCATTACATAAAAGGTAATTTTTAGTCCTAATAAGAGTAATATCTCTGGGCTCATCTTTCCACTTTTCTTTCAGTCCAGTTTATTCTGATCTAATATCTCAAAATTTCATTCTGGTTTTTATTATCTTTTGTGAGAGAGACACAAAAATATAATAAATTATAATAAGCATACATCCCCTCTGATTGATTTACATGAGAAAAGGCTCCTTCTGGAAGAGAAGAGGTGTTAGGAAAGATACAAGAGAAGGAAAAAGCAAAGGAAAGAGTTTGGACCAGAAAGAGATTAGATAGATAGGTAATTAGATTAAACATGTGTAGTAAAAGAACAGTCATGGTGAGTGAAACTGAGTAGAGAGAAGAGTGAAGAGAAATTTTGCTGTGCATTAGGCAACATAACCTCTTTATTGTACCACTTTGAGCATATTTAGTAAACATTTGCATTCATTTTTCTTTTTCAATATTGAAATAGTGCTTCCTTCTCTATGACCTCACTCATATTACTTGGTTACACTAGTTTCCTTCTTTCTGCCTAACCCCTTGCATACTAAGACTAATTGGCTGCTTATGAGGCCTGATTCTAGTTTTGCCCCTAGAATCTATGGCTCAATTTTCCTTTGATTCCAGCCCAGCCTGCCTGCTGGAGCAAGCCTATGCTAACAGATACCCCACCCCATATCCCACATTCTGTATTCCCTCTTGCCTAAGACTCTTGGACAGTCAATTGTGTCAGGAAACTCATAACAAGTGATTACATTAAGAAAATCAAATTTTATATGGCAAACTAGTTATAAAGCTTCCAGGAGGATGATAAAACAAAGAAGGAACAAATTAGCAACATCAGGAAGTGACTAGCATTACTAAGATGGCAAAGGCGAAGACACAGGGAGAAGATGTTATACAAACTGATAAACCAGGGCCATGCAGTGAGAAATCAGAGTCAATTTAGGGGAGCTGGGACTATGGAGAAGGAGACACAGCCACTGCTAAAGACTGTCTGAAACCAAAAAGGTAAGGGGAATACTCTGGCTTCTCTCTTCCTTCCACCTTCCAGTTTCCCACTAGTGCTTCCCACTGATGAAGCTTAGTCAGAAGCCAATGGACAAAGAAGCTAAGAAAGGTGATTTTTGAATTTGTGGGGTCAATCAGCTCCCTGTAATTCAGAGCAAAGCAGAGGAAGAACAGAGAAATGAGCTGAAAGCAAACAGAAAAATTACATACAAAGACAATAATTCTCTGAGGACCTAGTTCACAGGTCCTCTCCACTGATCTCAATTCTCAGATCTATTACTATTGCAGATACTGCCTACCCATTGTATATTCATTCATAGTTGCTGCATTGTATCCCAGTTAATGAGGATGTGTCCAGACTTTTGGGTTTAAGGATCTTCAGTGCTATGCTATGACCACCTACAGCTTTAGACACTTTATGAATCGATGCTAAAACTGCAGATGGTTCTCTGGATTTGGGTCCATCATAGAGAGCACCACCACTTCTGCCTCCCCCCACCACAAGAGCAATTTCTGGAGAAATGTATGTGCCTCTTCCTGGTTTCATGCCTTGCACAGAAGCCATATAATTGGGCCATAACCCTCCTTTCTCCAGGTTGCTTGTTGAAGATACCTTACCTCCAAGCAGTACTAAGCAATATCTTTCACAGGTTCACCCTGGGATGATGCCCACCAATAAGATGGGTGGAGGCTGGCAGGATCAGAATCAATGACCTGTTGCCCTGTAGAATGTTGGCCATAATTCCAGGACAATATGCCCCTAGAACAACCAGTTAAAAGGGAAATTTAAAATATCACAAGACAAAATGGAAACACAAAATACCAAAACTTATGGGATGCAGCAAAAACAGTTCTAAAAAGAAGTTTATACCAATAAACACCGACATCAAAAAGGAAGATCACACCTGTAATTCCTGTTACTCAGGAGGCTGAGGGGGAGAATCACTTGAGCCCAGGAGTCTAGACTGCATGAGCTATGATCATGCCACTGCACTTCAGCCTGAGTGACAAAGTGAGATTCCATCTCTTAAAAAAAATTAACAAATAAATAACATTTTGTCTTAAGAAAATAGACAAAGAAGAATACGCTAAGCCCAACGTTAGCAGAAGAAAACAAATAATAAAGATCAGAGCAGAAATAAATGAAATAGAGACTAGGAAAACAATACAAAAGATTAACAAAATGAAGAGTTTTCTTCAAAAAGATAAAATTGACAAATCTTTATCTAGAAAAAACAAAAAAAGGCTCAAATAAATAAAACAAGATATTAGAAAGGAGATATTACAACTCACATCAAATAAAAATATGAGACTGTTATAAGCAATTATATGCCAAAAAAAATTGGATAACCTAGAAGAAATGAATAAATTCCTAGACACATACAACCTACCAAGACTGAATCACAAAAAAAAAAAAAAAAAAAAAAAAAAAAAAAAAAAAACAGAAAATCTGAACAGACCAAAAAATGTAAAAGAAAAACTGTAAAAGAGGCATTAAAAATAAAGATGCTTTGGAATAATGAGTAAAGAGATTGAATCAGTAATAAAAAGTCTTCAGCTGGGTGCAGTGGCTCATGCCTGTAATCCCAGAACTCTGGGAGGCCAAGGCAAGCAGATCAACTTGAGGCCAAGAGTTCCAAACCAGCCTGGCCAACATGGTAAAACCCTGTCTCTACTAAAAATACAAAAAAATTAGCCAGGCTTGGTGGCACATGTCTGTAACCTCAGCTACTCAGGAGGCTGAGGCATGAGAATTGCTTGAGCCTGGGAGGCAGAGGTTGCAGTGAGCTGAGATTGCTGCACTACCCTCCAGCCTGGGCAACAGAGCAAGACTCTGACTGGAAAAAAAAAAAAAAAAAAAAAAAAAGTCTTCCATCAAAGAAAATTCCAGGACCTGATAGTGTGATCGTTAGACTCTACCAAGCATTTAAAGAACTGTTACCTGGGATAATGGCTATGTGACATAGCTGAATTTCTACCCTGCCCTAACTCTGCTTATCTTTAAGAAACAAGACGCCTATGATTAAAATTCTCGTTGTAATCAGACTGGTTAGAACCAGACCTCTTTGTTTTGAGATTGTTTAGAACCAAGATAGCCAATTAAATGACTTCAAAAAGACCTCAGGCTTTATTATAATCTATTTCTACACTAAATGACACTACCTTCAGTGCCATGACAGTTGACAATTGCTGTGACAATGACCAAAAGAAGCCATAAAAGGAAGAAAAAGGGAGGAAGCACTCCATTTCCAAAAAGTTCACCACCCATTTACAAAAAAAGACATGAATATCCTTTCCCTCACTTTTAATGTCCACCCCATGCATTAGAGATACCCCATATTTTAACCCACTCACCATTTGCTAGTCAAGAAGTTGACTCATGAGCCATGCTCCCACTTCTCAATTCCATGACCATTAAATAAGTCTGTACTGCTTGAAAATCACTTTCAGTTTCCCACATTTGGTTTCATGACACTGAACAGGGAAAGACTCCATCTTATAGGGGACCAGCTTTGTCAGTAACAGAACTGGTTAACCAGTGTGGGGCCCTGGACTAAATGGTCCACCTCCCTATATGGGAAGCCCCTTATCTCCCTGGAGACCCAGCAACTGGCACCCAACAGCATCAGCTGACAAAGAATTCTGACCTATACAGAATATTCCATCCGACAGAATACACATTCTTCTCAAGAACATACAAAACATTCTCCAGGATAGATTGATGTTAGGTAACAATATTAATGTTAGCAAATTTGAAAAGATCAAATTATATCAATAATCTTTTCCAGTCACAATCAATAACAACAGAAATTTTGGTAAATTTGCAAATACCCAGAAGTTAAACAGTATGTCCCAGAACAACCAATTAAAAGGGAAGTTTAAAATATCGTGAGACAAACAAAATGGAAACACAGCATATCATAACTTATGGGATGCAGCAAAAACAGTTCTAAAAAAATGTTCATACCAATAAACACCTACATCAAAGAATGTACGTTTATCCTGTCTCTCGGTGCCAGGGATCAGCTTTGAGGAATGTAATATATTATTGTTGTGATGGAGTAAGCAGGCAGGCAAAGGGTTATAAAACTGTACTGGGAAGGACCCGCTGAGCAATGTACGATGGGACATTTTCCCAGGATTATGGTTCTGCATGGGGACTCCTGGCACCACATTACTGTCCCAACCTCAGTAAATGGGTCCTTACGTCCCAAGACTCCCTTAAGTGTCTCAGCAAAGGTGAGAAAGGAACTGAAGGGTGGCTATGCCCCAAATAGAGGGCCTGAAAAAGGTTCTTGAAAAGATGAGAGAAGAACTGAAGGGCTGACAGTCCAGACTGCAGGATTAGGAAATAGCCTATAGGTAAATTGTGTGTGTGTGTGTGTGTTTGTGTTTGTGTGTGTGTGTGTGTGTCCTTCTCTGTTTCTCTCTGTTTACTCCTCTTAGTGTTTGTTCTCTTACATCCGTAAAAACCTCCAACATACCATTTTTCTTGCACTGGAGAAGCTTGGGTTTCATCCTTCTTGGAAAACACCTCCTCCTACTCTTTGACAAAGCCACAAGGACAAGGTGGCCTTGGCTACTCTCCTAAAAGGAGAAGTGCCAAGGATGCCTAGCTGGCCTTCAAGGAGATATCAGGGATGCCTGCATGCAATGATAAATAGTAGCTTTGTGCACGGTAAGAAATATTTAGAGTTCAAATGGCTAGCCTGCACTTATTGAGTTAAGTAGTTTTCTAAAGCTATCTTCCTCTCTTTTCTTTGCCTGCTGTGAATCCCCTGTTATTCAGTTGCTGGTGCTGAGATAAGACTTATTATTTCTGGTCTAACTGAAATGGAGACATTGAAAACCCATTTGAAACTGAAAAAAAAAACTGTAAAGGAGGATTACAAAAAAAAAAACTGCCATAAATACTGCTTTACCCAAATTTTCCAATTAAAAAAAATTAAATCCACTATTTTATCACTTATAAAATGGTGAGTCTGTATTGTATCTCATGGCTAAAATTCTGAGGTAAAAGCTCTTGGATCTTTGTGTATGTACAGATGTATTATCTTATGTGGGAAGTCTAGCATACCACCAAAGTGGCTTATAACTAAATAAGTACTCATGAATTAGGTAAGTCCAAATGCTCTTCAAGTTCACAAGAATTTAGTAATCTTTGATAAAAATGGTTTTCAAATTAATAAAATAAAAATTTTAAACATGTCTTCAATATTGTTAGGATATATTTTTGTCCAGATTTGCTAATTATTTTATATTTAAAACTCAGTGAAGGGAAACAGAGCCTCTTACCTGCAGGAAAGAAAGACAGGTGGCACGGTTTTGGAAGAGAGGCAGACCCAACATTTTCACATTCCTTCACACTCACCTTCCAGGATACTGGGCGAGGCCCCAGTTGAAATGGGAAAGGTTCCCTTGTCCCCCTAGCAGGGAATGTGATGCGGGTGTGGCTTGCTTCTCCAGTGCCCCACTGCTGGAACCTCTAGGGGAGCATACACACAGGCAGGCTGTGGGGCAACAACCCCACGGCAGTGTCTAGGGGTGAACGTTTACAGCTGAAGCCCCAGTGGGTGTGTGTTACAGGGACCTCTTTTAGTTTCCCTCTATAGGTGACTTGTGATAACCAGCTCAATTAGACCCCCTTCCTTATCACAAGGACAGAACGATTTCTGTATCCCAGGGTTTCTTGCCTTGGTGTACCAGAAAAATCAGATCACACGTGGGCTTGGAGAAGGAGTGCAAGGTTTTATTGAGTAGAAGTAGCTCTCAGCAGATGGGGGAGTCAGAGGGGAGATGGTTTTCCCCTGGAGTTGGGCAGACTTTCTCTGACTGCCCTAGCTAAACTCTGCCTCATCCCACTAGTGGATGGCCTGTGATGTGCTAGCGTGCCTGCCTGCATCTGTCGGTATGCTCTTCTGATGGCATGCTCCCTCCCCATCCTCTCACGTCCAGCCACTTGTGTCTTCTTCTGCTGATGTGTTCCTCTTGATATCTGGCTGCCTGTGTGTCTGCCCACTAAGATCTTGGGTTTTTATAGGCCTAGGATAGGGGCCTGGTGGGTCAGGATGGTCTTGAAAAATGCAACATTTGGGCATGAAAGCAGGAGTGCCTGTCCTCACCTAGTTTCATGGGGGTGAAGCCCTTGCCAGGGACCTGCCTGTCTCTACCCAGCACTGCCCTGCCCCACTCCTATATCACTGTGTGGACCCAGGCATCCAAAAACTCCCCCACAATATTTAGAGAAGCCTTAGCTAGGGACCTGGAGCACCTGATTCTTCTGAATGGATGGCACAATTTGACCAGCATTCTGAAAACTTAAAACCCAACTCACGAGGCCACCACCATTAGCCCTAACCAACCTAAACAAACCTTTTCATCTTTATGTTTCATAAGAGGAAGGAATTGCTCTAGTAATACTAACTTGAAGGTTGGGCCCACTGACCTGGATAAACGATCTACTTTTCCAAGCAACTGGAATTACTTGCTAAACACTGGACTCCCTTGCCTTGGGTCAGTGTCAGTCACTGCCCTCCTTTTAAAAGAAGCAGAAAAGTTAACCTTTGGCCAACCCCTAACTATCTGGACTCCCCACCATACCCAGACCTTCATGAATGAAAGCAGGGCAGAATGGCTGTCCCCAGGCAATACTCTCCAGTTACAGACAACCATCACATAACTCTGAAGGTATCTAATAGCTTGAACACAGCCACACTCCTTCCACCTGAAGATGGTCACTTATCTCACAACTGCTCAGAGGTGATGGAGTAAGTTTACTCCAGTAGGCCGGACCTTAAATGTGAATCTATTGAGAATGCAGAATCCCAGTGGTTCCCCAATGGGAGAGGCTATATGCAAAAGGAACAGGGGAGGGCCGGCTGTGCTATGGTCTCTCTCACTGATACCGTAGAAGCAGGCACTCTTCTACCAGGATGCTCTTAGCCTGCACCGTCAAGCCCGCACTGCTTGACCCTCACTTTCAGTTTCATTGTATTGGCTTTGTGATACTGAACAGAGAAAGGCCCCATCTTTTGGGGGACAGAAGGCAGAGCTTATTGCTCTAACCAGGGCATAAAAATTGAGTGAAGGGAATGCACTTAAGTATACGCTGATTCCAGGTACTAATATTCCATCTTACACACACACGGCACTAGTTAGAGGAAAAGGGGCATGTTATCCTCTGACAATAAACAGGTCAAAAATGGCACCATCATTTTAAGGTTATTAGAGACTGTAAGAAAACTAGCCCAGGTGGCAGTAGTTCATTACTGCAGCCACCAGAAGTGGGATGTTAAGGTAACCAAAGAAAAGAATAAAGCCAACCTAGTGTCAAAACAGGTGACTTTAGGGAAGGTCACTTTCTAAATGCCACCTTCACCTTCTTTCCTGGGTCCCGCTCTTTTGATCCTGTCTTACTCTCAAAAGGAATGGAAAAAAGCCTCCAAATGGGGTTATACCAAAAGTACTGATCAGTCAAGATGGCTAATAAGCCCTCATGGACAATTTCTTTTCCCAAAAGCAGTTGCCTTGCAGACCGTTAAAACAAAAACCATTCTAACACTCACTGATCAAGAGGCCCTTTCACTGGCTTTGCAAAAGTATAACTGTCCCAACCCTCAGGGAGCTAATCAAAGAGGTGGTTGAGACTAGCCCCATCTGCTATGTTAATAACCCTAATATCCACCTTATGCAGTGGGTGGGGAGAAGGGAAGGGAGCCTACTCAGCTGGTCTAATACCAAGGTAGACACCCAGGGAAAGATTGGTAAATCGGTTTCACAGTTATGCCCAGGGGCTTTAAAAACGTATATACCTCCTGGTTCTTACAGACACCTTTTCAGGATGGGTAGAAGCCTTTGCCACCCACACTGAAATTGCACATGAGGTGGCAAACGTCCCCAGATTCAAGCTGCCTTGGTCAATCCACAGTGATAATAAACCAGCATTTATAGCTTTCATTACTAAGGCTGCTTCTTGGAGCTTAGAAATAAAATGATCTCTACATACCACCTGGAGACCACAGTCTCAGGCAAAATAGAGCACACCAACCAGACCCTTAAAAGGACTTTAGCCAAAGTAAGCCAGAAAACCCATCTCCCATGGATTTCATTACTCCCCACAGCCTTGTTAAAAATAAGAAAAACTCCAAAAGGAAAAATCAAACTGAGCCCTTATGAGCTAATGTATGGCCAACTGGTCCAGGTCTGGTAAGGTAACCAGGAGGTCCTCAGAAACATGAAAAAAATAAAATATGCTACCAAGGTTAGAAAAATAATAAAGGCCTTTCAGGAATACAGAATTCAAGGATTACCTTCATCATCTCATTTGGCCCTTCATCTTTTACAACCCAGGACTGGGTTTTGTTAAAAACCTAAAAGTGGGAAGACCACAAGATTATTTAGAACCTAAATAGACAAGACCTTATCTGGTAATTCTCACAACTAACTCTGCCTTAGAGTTACAGGGAGTGACGCCTTGGGTCCACCACACCCAGATAAAGGCAGCCACAGAACCTAAGGAAGAAAGTGCCACTTACCGAGCTGAAGCACTCTCAGACCTAAGGTTCCTTTTCAAAAGGATGGACAAGAAACCTCAAACAGATAGGTTACCTTGGGCCCGCGTATACTTTTCTGTCAGGACTTAATCTACTTGTCTTGCTTGCAGGTATTCAGGTATTCTAAGCTTTGCTCTTGGAGTCACCTTGTTTCATCCAGAGTCTACCCCTGTTTGGAAAACACATGACATCAAGGAGAGTGCAGTTAGAGAACCTAACGCCCAGACAAGTCAAAATATTTAATTGTTTTCCATTCCCTTCTTGCTCAAGGAATAAAACGGCGATTAGGCTTATTCTGGCTGGCATCAGGATAGTGGGCAGTCTCCTTGCCCCTTAGGGAAGGTTTGCCTACAATAAAGTTACCCTCCACAACTTTGAAACAGTTATAGAAACTTCAGCCTATAAGACCAGCGATGGCGTTATCTGCCTCACAGTCTCCCCAGACTTACTAGCCAATATCGTGCGTTATAACCATCCGGCTCTTGATGACCTCTTGGCAGAACAAGGTAGGGTGTGTGTAGTCACCAACACTTCCTGTTGTGCTTGGGTAAATAATTTTAGATAAATTAAAAAATACATTAAAGTCATCTACAACCAGACCAAGTGGTTGCACCAATTTAACCAAAAGGGCATGGGCCCTCAGGGAATATGGAAAAATTATAAAACAGGCCATCTCTAATCTCACATGGTTCTTACCCTTCCTGGGCACTTTAGCTGATATCCTACTTCTCTTGATCTTTGGGCCCCGTTTCTTAAACTGCCTTGTTTCTTTTGTGTCTAAGCAAGTTGAGGCCATATAGCAATATGAACAGCTAGGCTTATACCCAGGAGATAACTAGACCTACCCAAGACTAGCTAGGAAAGATTTCACTGCTCTAATGGGTCCCATATCAACACCTGGATTCAGCTTAAAGAAGTTATAGAAGATGGACCTTCATCCCTTCATACCCCTCAAGAATGAGGAGTAAATGTAGAGAAAAGGAGGAATTTGTTACACAGTTTAATGGTAATATGACATAGCTGAATTTCTACCCAGCTTTAACTCTGCTTATCTTTAAGAAACAGGACACCTGTAATAAAAAATTCCCTTTGTAACCTTTATGAGCTGAGACTGGTAAGAACCAAGACAGCCAATCAAAACACTTCAAAAAGACCTCAGGCTCCATTATGATCACATTTCCATGCTAAATGGCACCATGACCACTGACAATCACCATGACAATGACCAAAAGAAGCCATGAAAGGACAAAAGGAAAGGCAGCTCTCAGGTTCTGGGACATTTCCCTCCCATTACCAGAAAAGACATGAATATTCCTCTTCTCACTTTTAAGGCGAACCCTTTCATTAGAGAAATCCTATATTTTAACCCTTTCACCCCTCACTAGTTGAGAAGTTGATTTGTGAGCCATGCTTTTACTTCTCAATCCCATGGCCATTGAATAAAGCCTGCACTGCTTGACAATTTCAGTTTTAGATATTGGCTTTGTGATACTGAACAGAGAAGGACCCCATCTTTTGGGGAACCAGCTTTGTCAGTAACAGAGTTAATACCAATTCTCTACAAACTTTTCAAGAAATTAAAGAGAAGGGAACACTTCTAAACTCTGTTTACAAGGCCGATATTTTTCTGATACCAAAGCCAGACAAGGACATCACATGAAAAGAAAACTACAGGCCAATGTCATTAATGAACGTGATGCAAAACTCCACAACTAAATACTAGCAAACTGAATTCAGCAACACATTAAAAGGATCATTCACCATAATCCAGAGAGATTCGTCCCTAAGATACAAGGATGATTCAACATTCACAAATTGATAAATATGATACACCACATCAGCAGAATAAAGGACAAAAATCATATGGACAAAAATCACCTCAAAGTGTATTAAAGACTTTAAACATAAGACTTGAAACTATGAAACTGCTAGAGGAAAACATAGGAGAAAAACTCCATTACATTGATTTGGGCAATGATTTTTTTAGATTTGACCCTAAAAGCATAGGCAACAAAAGCAAAAGTACACAAATGGAGTTACATCAAAATTTAAAAGTGTCTGCACAATAAAAGAAACAATGAACTTACAGTTTGGGAGAAATATTTGCAAGTCATATATCTGATAAGAGATCTATCTCCAAAATATAGAAGGAACCCAAACAATTCCATAGAAGAAAAACAAATACTGTGATTAAGAAATGAACAAAGGACCTGAATAGACATTTCTCAAAAAAGACATACGAATGGCTATTAGATATATGAGAAAGTGCTCAACATTACTAATCATAAGAAGATGCAAATTAAAATGACTTCACAACTGTTAGAATGTCTATTATCAGAAGACAAATGATAACAAGTGTTGGCAAGGATGTAGAGACAAGAGAACCCTTATACACTGTTGGTGAGGATGTAAATCAGCACAACCATTATGAAAAACAGTTTGGAGATTCCTTAAAAAACTAAAAATAGAATTATCATATGACCTAGCAATCCCACTACTGGGTATTTACCCAAAGATTTGAAATCAGAATGTCAAAGACATGTCTGCATTTCTGTATTCACTGTAGCACTATTCACTATAGCCAAGAAGTGTCCATCAAGGTATGAAAGGATAAAGAAAATGTGGTATACATACACTATGGAATATTATTCAGCCTTAAAAAGGAAAGAAATTCTGTCAATTGTGACAATGTGGATGAAACTAGAGAACATTAGGCTAAATGAAATAGCCAAACACAGAAAGCAAAATATCATGTGTTCTCACTTATATGTGAAATCTAAAACTATTTAACTCATAGAAGCAGAGAGTAGAAAGCTGATTGCAGGGGCTGGGGCAGGGTGGAGAACAGGGAGATGGTAACTGAAGAGTACAAGCCTCTTAGATAGGAGGAATAAGTTTGATTTATTTTGTTTGTTTGTTTGTTTGTTTTTTTTGGAGATCCATTGCACAGCATGGTAAACATAGCTTATAATTGACTACTATAGATTTCAGTATTGCTAAGAGAGTAAATTTCAAATGCTGTCACAAAATAATAGTAATACTTGAGGTGATAGATGTTAATTAGCATGATTTATGCATTCTACATTGTATTCCAAAATCATAACATACTTTTTACCCCATAAGTATATTTAAGCATTATATATATACACCTATAGTTTATCAATGTAATACAAATAAAATACCCAAAACTACAAAATCATATTCAGGTCCCCCGGATTATACCATTTCAACTTAAATCTTAAAATACAAGCAAATAAACAAACACAAATTCTCCATTTTAAAAAAAAATAACTCTCTTTTTAAAATGTCTCATTTTATCACAGTTTTACAGCAGCAATAGCATGATGCACATAAGCTTGAGTATCCCTTATCAGCTTTCCCGGGAGAAGGATGGCAGAATTAAATTTCCATGCAACACACTAAGAAATAACAGGCACAACTTAGAATCAGGGATAAAAATTCAAATGGACTAGATTCTGGGATGAGACACCACCTAGAAAATGTGGCAAACATTAATGTTTCCAGGCAGTGCCACTCTGCCTTGTGAAATTACCTGGGTCTTTTGGTGTGCTGGCTACTTCTTTGTAAGTGGTTGAGTAAATTCATCATCTCAGTGTCATATGAGCTCACTGTTGGCATGGTTTCAAGAAATCTCATTATTTTTTGATGTCTGTGATGGATTAAAGATGAGAATATTGCTGGCCTAAGGGTTCGTTAGCCTTGCCTGTCATATTTGTCAGCTACAAAGCAGCTCTGCTGAAGGGTTAGGAGGGCGTTTGGGAGAGTGGGCCATTAAAACACAGTTCCATTACTTACACTCAGTTAGACTGAGGAAATGGAGGGTAACAAGTGTGAGAGCTGCCCCATGGGATCCATTTTCTTTGTTACACACCCAAAAAGAAAAAATCAAGATGACAGCAGAATGGCAAGAATCTCTCCCAACATGGGATGGCTACATCTTGTAATTTCTCACTGCGGGTGAAAAGTGCTTGTTTGGGTAACCTCACAGGCCATTCTGGGAGTTATGTGGCCAGGCAACATCCTGCATGATCAACCCCAATTCTTACGTGAACTGACCTTAGATTGCTCTCTAGCTGCTTAGAGGTGGAACAAGGCTATCTGTTCTAAGTCCTAGGAACAAAGGCTATTTGTTTCAATCACAACAACACATTGTGATTGAAAATATTAAACAAATTCTCAAAGATATTTTAAATGCCTAACATAATGATAGTAAAATTATCTTTAGTGCTATAATTTTTAAGTAGATATTATGTTCAAAAGTTTTCAGGAATGTTGTACATACAAGGTAAAGCAATGAACATCTGCAATGTTACCGAAAAATTGATTACCTAATTCATGGTAATGCCTTCCAGGATTATTTCTCTCATGTTCATGTAGGAGGTGCTACTTATAGATCAGACTATCCAGGGATGTAGATACCTTTGGAAATTTCTTCCCTGAAGTCCAATATAGCCATTTACTGCACCAAGTATTCTAACTGATAATGATATAGCGGTGAAAAAAAATACAAGTCCTTTCCTTGCTTTCATGAAGCTTACAATTTAATATGGTGACAGACATTAAACAAATCTTATCCTATAAATACATATTCTTATTTGGTTTAGTTCACTTAAAAATGTGTGTGTATCTACCACTTGTAAAATAATGCGTTAGTAGTTCTGGATTCTACGGACATGAAAACAACACAATCCTTTTGGCCTGCATGATGCTTACAGTTTTGTGGGAGAGAAAGATATGTAAGCAGATCATTACAATACTTTGTAATACATCTAGGCTTCTGTCTCATTCAAGAGAATCCCTTCCCTTCCCCTTCTGCTTCTGCTTCCTTTCCCTTTTCCCTTCCCCTTTCCTTTTCCCTTCCTTCCCCCACCTTCCTTTCTTCTTGCTGTTTATTACATTGCTAATATATATCAGGGACTATATACTAAGTGAAGTTCAGATAGGATCAATTGTCTGCTTATTATGTGCCAGGCACAGTGCAAATTGTAGTACATGCATTATTAACTCAAACAATTCCCAGAATGGTATTATTATTATTATTCCCATTTTATAGAAAGATTAAATAACTGTCTAAAGAGTCAAATGGGAATGCTGACATTTGAGCAAAGATCTGTGTGATTTCATAGTGTGTGTTCTTATCCACTATATAACTATATAGGAGATCTGTGTTAGAGTGAGATGTTATTCAAGAAAAAAAATAAACCTTAGCCAAAAGTGAATAAAGATAAATTATTTCTATAAAGTGAAAATATGTACCCAAGAAAAATTAAACTTGTCACTTTAATTTATTAACATTGTCCCCAAATGGATTAACGCTAAAATGTATTTTTAAATAGTACAGTATAAAACCTTTCATTAAGTAATACTATAAAATAGTGTGTATATGTATAGGTACATGTGTCCCCACACATGCAATTTAAAAAACTTAAGTAAAAATATTTTTATCTTTAAAATAGTAGCTCTGGGCTTAGTGGAAGAATTATTGGGCCTCACTAATTGCACCAAAAGCAATGGCTGTAACAGTGTAACCCTGAGAAAGTGTTGGTGAGGGCTTGGGGGACATCACCACCTGCTCTGTCAACTCCACATACGCATCCAAGAGGATGGAGGGAGGCAAGTGGATGGTTGTTGAAGGATTATGTTTTTTGTTATCTTAGTTAACATGGAGGCCACATGAAAATACACATTAGCTCTTTCTAAGCCAAATTTTCCCCTTGAGGTAGTCACGCAAGTATACAATACAATGCCTTATAGCTTATTCAGTGGTGTTAGAGGGAAACGAAGTTAAAAATGAACTTCAGGAGCCATGGATCCTCCTGTACCACCTCTGAGGGTGAAAGTCAGTAGAAAGATAGATCAGGCTCTGCCTTGAGATACACACAGGCTAGCAGAACTGAACCATCACCTGACACTATGGAGACGACTGAGCTTTGCTGAATGCACTGTTGGTAGGACCATAATGAAGCCAGGTCATTCCTACGCATTTAAATTCTCAGAAACACCAAAGCCAAGCAAGTTTCTCTGGATTCACCATGGGCTCTGGCTTAAGAAACAACTCACTCATTCGTTTGCAGGGATGTGCACATCTAACCCACAGCACAGGCCATTCACATCTTCTCACTCCCACAGGCTCTTGTAGGGGAACTGTTCTTTACTCAAGAGAAGAATCAGCTGTCTAGAGTCCCTAAGATAAGTAAACTAAAAATCTCTGCCTTAAGGCCTATTTGGTAGACAATTGTAAACAAGCTCAGATTTGTACTCCTCACCCTTACAGTGTTATATAATAAACAATTCAAAACCTCCAAATTTGATTTTATACATTCAGTGTTTTAAGAATTTAATCTTACTGTGTCAGTCTCCAAATCAATCTCCTAACACATTGTTTTGTCCATCCAACACTTACTGAAATTTGTTCAATAATGTATCTCATCTGCACCCCTTACCCATTGTACATACAACTTCTGGCTGCAGGATAGAGTCTACAGTCTAGAAGATTAAGGAAAAAGTATTGAATCTAAATTCCCAGAATTGTTCCTATAGTATTCCCATGAGTTCAAAGATCCTAGAGTAGAAGGACCATGTCTATTATTTCTTTTGAATTCCCAACTGCAATATCTAGCATGGTGCCTTAAACCTAACATGTTTACATTAGCACTTGAGAATATCTGCCTCTTTAATATTTATTATTTATTTTTCATACATTATTTTGGGGGGTACTTATTTTTTCTATTTATTTATGTAAGTTTTGCAGTATATGTGCAGGATGTACAGGTTTGTTACACAGGTAAACATGTGTCATGGTGGTTTGCTGCACCTATCAAATCCTCACCTAAAAATTAACTCCAGCATACAGTTAAGTTACTAATTTGGAAACAAAATATATTAGGAAGTGAGAATCATTCATCCCATAATTTTTGAAAGAGAAAATAATATATTTTAACATTTATCTATGCTTACTCTATGCAATACCTTGTTCTACCAAATTTTTAGAATTCACTTTTAGCTATCCATACTTTTCTAAGAATGGAAACATGTCTGCCATATTTTACACTAGAGAGTTACTGAACCTTGAAATTTTCACAACAGAAACAATGTCTTTTGCTTTCCCTTAGACAATTCAGCTGCTTCTTTTCAATACAATCTGGTCATTACACTTTTTAAGAACCACAGAAATATCCCCTCAGGGATTTTTTTCCCTTTCTTTCTTCACTCCAGCACTTTCTAATCTCAGGGGAAAGGACGGTGAATGTTTTCTACGTACATTTTCCATACTGTACAAATTCCCTGTATTTTCTTCCAATGGACACAACCTGTCTCCTTTCCTTTTATTAATTCCCCCATTGCAAAATGAAAACTTTTTTTAAAAAAGTTGAGTATTAGGTTTTTTAATTTGTTATTTTTCATGAAACAAATTAAACATTTTAACTACTCAGATAATATAGAAATTAAATAGAATGATGAAGGAATATAATAAATGACTATATGCTGAAAAATTCATATGTAGATAAAATAGCAATATTTCTGAAAAAGTTTACATCAGAAAAAAATAGAGAATTTGAAAATACAGTGTTAAAGAATGAAAGATGAAGATAAATTCTTTAATTTTAAAATTATCACAAATTAATGTAACCAGAATAATTATTTAATTTTATATTATATTAATTTGAAACTGAATATTTAGTACTTACACTTGTGAAATTACTATAAAGGCATTTGATATAATATGAAAATATTTTTCTATGAGTCCATCTTATTTACGAATATTATTTATGCTAGATACAGTGGGCATTTAGCAAGCTTCTTGGAAATTTTGAATGGTAAGACAAGATGCTGAGCACTAATTCAAAGACAAAGAGAAATTAGCAACTTTCTAAACTTGGGGTCATTAAACCCAGTGAGATCATTACTTTTTAAATAACAGAGTAGGTGAATAAATATATAGATAAATAATTTAAATATATAAATAATTTAAATATATAGATACATAATTTAAAACTTTTTCTCTTCTTTTGAATTTTTCACATAAGTTCTACACGTTACATGGATAATACAGCATGTAAACCCTAAAAGCTTTGATTCACTTTTTGTACCTTATGCCCAAAAGCTGTTATTTTATTCATGGCAACTCAAAAGGACTGTAAAAACCATACGAGTTAAGTCACACAATTGTCTGCATCTCTTGTCCAAATTCATTGATTAAAAGCCAACTGGTAATTTATCCCAACGTGTTAGGAAATGATCATTCTGTTCCTTGTTTTGTGGCTGTAATGGCTTTATAGCTATTCATAAGACTCCAGAGAATAAACATTTAATAAATTTTCATTCTCACCTCCTAATGTTTATACTTGGGTAGTAATAAGAGGAAGATTATTTTTCTTTCATTTCTAAAAGTTATATTTTAACTGTATACGGCAATAGAGTGAGATTATTAAAATAACACATGAAATGTAAAAACTATACAAATGGTACTAGTAGCCAAATTAATCCTGCAAAAAGGAAAACATTGCAGAAAACCCAAAAGGAAATTTAAAGTTTTAATGCTAGAACTTACAGCTTCCACTTCAAGTTGTCTTAATGAATAATGAGGGTAATAAAATGACCCTTAATATACTCAGTGAGTTTTCATCAATCACCTCTTAAAATGTCTGTAACAACAAATTGCTAGCTTATTTCTGATAGCAAATTGTTGTTTGAAGGATCAGGTACACACTGATAGAATTTTAAAACCAACATAACTGTGAGTTACTCCATATAGAAGAGGTAGATCATGAGTCATGAGTCTTGTGTACAGACAACATCGATGCAGTTGGGAAAATGAGGTTGAGTAAGGTGATTGATCCGGCAAAGGAAGCTTCTATATCTGGATGAGTTATATCCTGAGTTGTGTGAAAAATTTACAGAAGGAGCTCATTAAAACTAAATCAATCTTTAAAAATGTCAAGGAGATGAGAATAATGTCAGAAGACAAAAGAAAGACCAATAAGGTAAGACTTTCTAAATGATGTAAACGATGGATATTTGACAGTGACCTTCCCCCAAAAAATACTATGATAGATTCTCCAACTGATGATCTAAAAATTTAGTAAAAAACCCACTCACTTTTCACTAGGAGCACATACCAATTTACTAAAAGCAAATCATTTCCAGTAACTTTATTTTCTCTTTTGTTGAGTTTGTCTCAAAAGCAGAGATTGATTAGTAGGTTTCATTTGAATCTTTGGACTCAGTAAATTAGGGGAAAGAAGACAAGATTACTTACCAGAATATGCTGAGCAGAATGAAGTAAGACATTTTTTGCAATAAAGATCATATATTCGTACTGTTTGAGAAATAAGATGCAGGATTTCATAAAGTCATGTCTGAGATCACAAGTTACTCTTCACAGAATTCTGTAGTTTAGCAACATGGAGTTGAAGAAGTGAAACATTTTTCTGTGGTGTGTAGATGAGGTAGCATAGATGCTATTTTGATTCCATTGAAATCAACATTCTGAAAAACTGGCCCATAAAGTCCCATTCCTGATACAATTTTAAGCTAGCTTGCCTTTTTTTAAAATGAGAATTTATATAGTTATACATTTTAATAAGTTTAAATCAAATGTTCATTAACATTTACAATGAGTTAATTTAATTTGAAAATAGTTTTAGGAGCCATCATGCTCTCATAAATATTTTTATCTCTAAATATTTTTAGATATTTTTAGATATTTTATCTCTAAATATTTTTAGATGATTTTTGCTGTTTTCTACCAGTTCTAACTTTGCTAGAAGCTTGAAATGATCAAAAATATTTTTGTGAAATTTATATACCAATTTCTCCTTGGTCTTCACCCCAGAAGAAATTATAGACTTTAGGGACCTTTAGGGTATTGCAAAAGGTCAAAAACTCTATAAAAATGCGAAGGTTTAATTAATGGAGATGATGAAGAGCAGACAAGGCTTGATGGCTGGTAAGAAAATATGTGGAAAATTGTGCTTCAGATTACAGCAAATAAAGCAAAACATTTACACAAACCAGCCCTAATTTGATCTGTATCTGAAACATAATGTCATCCTTTTGATTTTTACTTGCTTGGTTAAATTTCGTTAAACAAAATATATAAGCATCAGTAATTTCCTGAGAAGCACTGTCATTTGAGAAAAGTGTAACTATAAAAGGACTAAAAAATGCTCAGTAATTAAGCCCAAGCTGATTACATTGAAGTAAATTTGTTAAGTCCTCTCACCTTTAAATTACATAGTAAGCATATCAAATAAATCCCTGTACACAAATCAAGTTTTTATATTTTATTTTTGTAAAAAGGGTATTTATTCCATTGACTCAAATTTAACAACTTACAAAAACAACAAAAATGCTAGACATTAACCAAATTTAATTTGAACCTTATCTCTCTAAGTCGTTGTCAAAGAATATGAATCCAAGGAGTAATTAGCATATGTGCCTAATATCCTTACCTGTTGCTTTGGCTGTAATTAAAATGCACAGTAAGAAATAGGGTTGGGCTCACTTTTTTGATCTATAAGACTCTGAAAATGTCAAGAGGCGAAGCCTGAGTTTCCTTTGCCTTTTGTCTGCTTGTGGTGAGATAGGATAACTATCCCTCTGGTTTTCCATCTGGTATAAGCTGATCATTAGGGAGAATACAGGGCAATTTGAAGCAGCTGTTAGAAGTAAAGCTAGAGAGTGATAAAAAATTTCTAACTACTGGACTAAAGGATCATAGTTCCTTATAATGTCCCTTTAAGCAGCGATCCCCAACCTTTTGGGATCCAGGGACTGGTTTCATGGGAGACAATGTTTCCATGCATGGGGTCGGGGGTGGAGGTGGGGTAGGGGAGATAGAGAGTTCCACAATAGGTTTCATGCTCCTATGAGACTCTAACGACCCTGGCTGTTCTAACAGGAGACGGAGGTTAGGTGTTAATGCTCCCTCCCAGGCCACTCACCTCCTGCTGTGCATCCCTGATCCTAACAGGCCACAGACTGTTACTGATCTGTGGACCGGGGTTGGGGACCCCTACCTTAAAGGGCCAAATAGCTTTGTCCTGGTAAACAACCTATAAGGAGGTAACATGTGCTTCCTAAAGTCATGGTTGCTGTCTTAAAAGACATGGATGAGAAGAGTTAAGAGGAGGGCTGGAAAATGGCAGAAAATACAACTGTATCAAAAATAAGAAATGAGCAATTCTATGAGGAATATGATTCTTTTTCACCTTAACCGAAGTGACACTATTTGATTACTTTCTTTTTTTCCAATCACTCATTATTTTCTTTCTAATCACTCCTATCATTGTCTTACATTTATATTTATTCTTTGCTTTTGTCTTTTCCAGTTTTGGTCCTTGGATAGCTTGTTTCACTTCACTTTCTTTTCCTATGGAATCTCACTCTGCACATCTTTTCCTATCTAGCATTCCTCCTCAAATCTTGAAATTCTTCTCCTTTGCTTCTGTAGATGCAGAGCATCATTTACAGAACCCCTCAACCTGTGCTTTGAACATTCATCTCACCTTCTTGCTCTACAGGAAATCTGGCTTTGCCCTGAGAACACTGCTTCCTCTGGGACCCTCCAAAAAGTATCTATTTTCTGTAATAACACTGGGCCCTAGGGATAAGGTATTTCCTCATTTCCACTTTTATAACATTCACTTTCCCCTTTCAACAGAAACCCTTATGTCATAAGTGTATCCCCACTCTCTGATTATTGCTACACTCTACTGAACCCCAAGTCATATCCCTCATTTCTGAGGAATGTCATTGTCATTATTTTTTCCAAATTCAATATATGTACAAGTGAGTTAGTCTTAAGCACTCTGACCTCTCAAGTGCTTGAACTTCTCTTCCTTAAAGATCTTATATGGCTCATTAATTTATCCACTCACTCCTTCTGTCATACTCCAAATTTTGTTATTAGCACCACCCATACCTTTTTGAAATGCAATTCCCTGCATCCCACCCTCTGACAGCCCCTCCTATCTACCCAGGTCCCTCACTCTAGTACTTTTCCTACTCTCCTCTAGCTGAAATTCTATTGTCTATCTTCTTTATTCCCTTGTATATACTCTTTCCCTTGCCCATCTGTACTTCTGTGGTAATCTCTTGGCAAAACTAAAATCCTGGTTAAATCTGTCTTCCATCTATTCCGTGCCTGTATCTGTGCAGCTGAATAAAATGAAGAAAAAAATCCCCAGTAATACTATTAACTCTTTAATGTGATGGCTACTCATACAAAGTTGGCTCTAATTGCTCTTGGTAATCACACTACACTTCAGGAGTCCATGCATTCACCTACTTTCTTAGGTGACTATGTCACACATCTTTTCTTCAAATCTCCGATAGCTCCTCTCCTAGCTTCACATTGCCCTGATAATTTAGCTTCTAATTTTATCAAGAAGATTGAATGATTCAGAAGAGAGCTTCAATAATCCTCTCAAAATATTCACCCACATTTCAGCATCTGAACTCACATATGCCTTACTTAATGTTACCCAGAAGAATAACCATGAGCAGGTACCACCACTTTTACACTAGATCCCATCCCCATTGCCTCATCAAGAACATGCTGGCAATTCTAACCTTCCATTTCTACATCATTAATTTTCTCTCTACTGGCTAATTCCTCTGAACCTACAACCTACAAATTCTCCCTCACATCTCAAAAGAAAAATATCATCTCTCAACACCTTTTCCTGACTATCTACCGTCCATTTTTGTGAAATCCTTTTCAGTAGAATTCTTCAGAAGAGTAATCTATATTCTCTGCATTTAATTCCTGTCCTTGATTTTCTTTTAGACTCATGGCAGAAAGGCTTTTCCCCCTTACAGTTTAAAATAGGTACAAACTATTGATTTTTGTCCTAACACACTAGTCACTTCCTCAGTCTGCTTTGCTGGCTCTGCCTCTTTTCCTCGATATATAAATATTATGATGCCATAGAACTCATCTCTTGGACCCTCTTGTCTTATATATCCACATTAATTTCTTCAGTTTCTCATTCAGTTTCAAGGGATTATATCTCCCCAGCCCTTCCAAATTCCACATGCACATAACCAGCTGTTTACTGGACATATCCATATGAATGTCTAATAAATGCTGCAAACCCAATATAGCTCAGATGTAATTCTTGGGCTAGACATTCCCATCTCAGTTGATAGCAACTCTATCTTCCAATTGCTGAGGTCAAAATCATTGCAGTCATCTGTGACTCCTCCCTTTCTCTCATATCCCCCAAAAGCCTGGTGACTCAACTTTTGAAACATTCAGAATCTGACCATTACTCACCCCTCAACTGCTACCACCTTGGCACAAGCTATTGTATCCTCTAACTTGAATTACTATAGTAGTTTCCAACTGTTGCCTTACTTTAACTCTTACCTCTTATTGTCTATTCTCAATGAAAGTCACTGTAAAAGTTTGAAGGTGTGAGTTGAACCATGATAGGACTCTGCTCAAATCCCTCTAATGTCTCCTTATTTTTATCTCAATAAAGACCATACTTCTTCAGGGGGGCTACAACTTTCTGTCTTCTGCCTGCTACCTCCTTCCTTCCTCACACACTCTCTCAACCGATCTCTCACACACTCTCTCACCCTATCTCTCACCGTACATCTCATCCTATCTCACCCTATCTCTCTCTCTTCCAGGGACATAAGCCTCTACTCTACTAACCTTTTTCCTTTGTAGCACATATCACCTACTAAAACACTATATTATTTGGTTATTTAATATGCTAATTCGCTTACTTAATATGCTTACTCACTTTGTAGATGCAGAACCTCAGAAAAGGATTCTACTGACAATTGTGTTTTAGGGGGAAGTGGAGTAGGGAAGAAGGATAGAGAAAGGAGCAAAGCCAATAAAAGATGTACTATCAAGCGAGGTACTACTATGGGCAACTGGAGATAATCCTAATATTCTCCAAGTGACGAAGAGTCCTCCAAAAAATGTATGCAAGCAAATAGCACAACTGGATTGTGCTCTTTAAATATAACTCTAAAAACATTGTAAAGAAATACAGCTGAGAGACTCAAATTAACCAGCAGAATTGTTTTCAGGATATTTCAGATGTTATTGCTGTTTTCATACAAGAAATGACAAGTTCTAAACTAAAATATTTGCAATACAGCTGGAAAAGAGACTGATAGATAGCATAAATAATGCACATGAAAGGTATAAAGGAGATGGGGCACATTTTTGCCAGCTGTTTTACATTATTGTTTGTGGGCTTCTTTTGACAAGGCATAAGAGAGTCCTCAGAAAAAATATACAGATAGTTGGAAGTTAACAGTGATGGGAATTATTAGTACTAAGGGACCATAGGCAGGGCACTAACAGAATTTTGTATGGTTTGACATAGCATTTGTGGCCCCAAATAAAATATAGGCTGCAAGAGAGCAGAAATGTTCATTTGATTAGTTCATAGATACATCCCAATTACCCAGAGCAGTCCTTGATGAAAAAGAGGTGCTGAGTAGGGATTTGCAAAATAAATAAATAAATGAACTAATTTGCACTTGAATTTGCCTACTACATACATGCAATGACTTTCTAGTCTATTTGTCTACCTCTTCTCTGATATCCTCATGAATATTTCTAAAAGCCTCCTGGATATGTCCAGTGGAGGTTCTATAGGCACTTCAAATACTGGATGTTGTGAAACACTCTTATCTACACATAATTCACATCAACCTTAGACTTGGCTCCTGCATTGCCATCCATGCTATTCTTAAGACCAGAAGTCATGGGGTCAGCTCAACTTCTTTCCTGTCATGAATCAATCAACAAATTTTACCACTAAGCTACTTTTTGCATGTGTGTTCTCTTTTCCATCCCCATTGCAAATATTTTAGGTTAGAATGTGGTCATTTCTTCCATGAAAAAATGAAATAATTCCTAAAATACTCTGAGAAAAATTTTGCTTATTAATTGAGTCTCTCAACTGTATCTATTACAATGTTCTCAGAATTATATTTAAAGAGCACAATCTATTTGTGTCATTTCCTTGCTTACAATTTTTGGATGACTCTTAGTTGTTTGGAGAATATATTTTAAACTCATTATTAAGGTATACAAGTCCTTTTCTTTCTGACCACAACCTTTCTCAGTTACTCCTCAGTTTCATTTATTTATCAGTGGATTTAACGAACATATGCTAGAGGTGCTATACGCTAGAGGTGCTGCTATGTGCCACACCCTGTGCTAAGTGCTATTACTTAAGAGTATCCTTCTTTTCTAGAGTGGGCCTAATGTTTACTCTTTAAAAATAAAAAAAATATATGACTTACCAAAGGATTTTCACTATTTCTTTATTCATAGTAATAAACAGCATAACATTTTAACCATGTGATTGTTTCAAAGGGATCAAACCTTTTCTGTTCCCCTTTTTTACCTCTCAGGTGCAGAAATCATTGGTCATGGTGAGACTGGATCAAAGCAGCATTACCTCATTTGAAATGCATTTGATGACCAATTTCCCCTCTGTTTTTTTATAATAACAATACAGCAACTAAGAATTAAATGTTCCATTTGTTAAAATATGTGCATTTTATTTTATAATTTTTTTAAAGTTTTAATTTTTAATTTCCCTGTATATATTATAGTTGTACATATTTATGGGGTACATGTGAACTTTTGATACAAGCATGCAATGTGTAATGATCAAATCAAGGTAACTGGGATTTTGTTTTTGTGAAATCATATAGATCTTAATTCAATTATCTAAAAACAGTAAAGAGTAATAATTTTCTAATCCTATTTCCATGGGAGAGAAAAGTATTTTTAATTCTATGTTTATATATATTTGTATCTTTCCAAAGGCTCTCAGTTTTCATTTTTGACTTCTTATCCCTAATATTTTGAAGAAATATAGTCTCTTTTGTTTTTATATTATACATTTATAAAACTATACATTTTACTGGATTGATAGATTTGCATGTTAAGAGGTGGTCCTACATATATGATGATGAGAATTCTCTCTCTCACCCATTTCTGTTTAGTACAAATGATTCATTCGGCCTTTTAGGTACTGATTTCAGAAATGAATTGTGCACTTGGGTGCAGCAACCTTATTTTAACCCAAGATCATAGGTATATCCCCACACTGCAACAAACACCCCTCCTTTTATTTTCTGCAGCTACTACACCTCAAGATCTCATTTATTATCACATCAGCACATAGGAACACCCTTTTGTAAAGGGTAGTAAACAATCTTATCTTTGCATTAACCTATAATGTAACCCCTTTACCTCCTCTTAGTTCACAGTAAACTTTCTTCTTTAACTCAGGTGGAAAAACAAATATATTGACACATATAGTTCTTGAAAATATTTATGCCTAGGAATGTACTGTAGCTATCTTTGCCCACTAATATGCAAAGTTTACACTGGAGAATTCACATTGTAGGTAATTGTGTAAACATATATTCACAAATATATATTTCTATATATTTTTTAATAAACATATATACATATCCATAGTATATTCTTGCCAGGGAAAATTAGGAAATGCCTGCTTTCTTTAAGTTTGTCTTAGTGAAAGTTTATGATTTGTCATGCATCTGGAAAATCATATATGTTATTGAAATTTTTCCCTTTGTTTCATTATATAAATAATATAAATATGCCTCACTGTTTCCTTTTCCCAATTTCAATCAATATCCAGAATTTTCCAGTTTTACTCATCATTCTGTCCCTTTATGCATTTTCTTCATTAGCCTCAGTTCATGAAATATCTTCAAATAACATTTCTGATGGAAAATACTCCAAGACAAACAGAAAATATGTTTATGTATCCCAACTGTGATCAAATGCACCAGGCAAATCTGTCAATTCTCAATGGGCTTCAGCAACACAAAAACTCATAATATATGTGTGTCCTAAAAAGGGCACATCATGTTTCTAGCTATATTCCTGTGTGTTGCCAACCTTGCAAATTATTAGGTGCTTTTTTTTTTAAACATTATTACTTTTTGAAATGTTTAAAAACTTTTATTTAGGTTCAGAGATACATGTGCAGGTTTGTTATACAGGTAAACTCATGTTACAGGGGTTTGTTGTACAGATTATTTCATCACCCAGTTATTAAGCATAGTACCCTACAGTTATTTTTTCTGATCCTTTCCCTTTTCCCACCTTTCACCCTCAAGTAGGTGCCAGTGTCTGTTGTTCCCCTCTTTGTGTCCATGTGCTTCTATTATTTAGCTCCCACTTATAAGTGAGAACATGCACAGTATTTGTTTTTCTGTTCCTGCTCTAGTTTGCTAAAAATAATGGCTTACAGCTCCATCCATGTTCCTGCAAAGGATGTGATCTCTTTGGTTTTTTTATGGCTGTATAGTATTCCCTGGTATATATGTACCACATTTTCTTTATCCATTCTGCCATTGATAGGCTTTGTATCAGTTTGTTCTCACACTGCTAAAAGACATACCCTAGACTGAGGGATTTATAAAGAAAACAGGTTTAATTGACTCCCAGTTCTGCATGGTTGGCAAGGCTTCAGGAAACTTACAATCATGGTGGAAGGGGAAGCAGGTATGTCTTACATGGCAGCAGGAGAGAGTGTGTATATGTGTGTATATGAGTGCAGGAAAAACTACCACTTATAAAACCATCAGATCTCATGAGAATTTACTCACTACCATGAGAACAGCATGGGGGAAACTGCCCCATAGTCTATTCACTTCCCACTTGGTCTCTTCCTCAACACCTGGGGATTATAATTAAAGATGAGATTTGGGTGGCAACACAAAGCTAAACCATGCCTTTCCACCCCTTGCCCCTCCCAAATCTTATGTTCTCACATTTCAAAACCAATAATACCTTCCCAACAGTCTCACAAAGTCTTAACTCATTTCAGCACTAACTTAAAAATCCGATTCCAAAATCTCATCTGAGAAAAGGCAAGTCCCTTCTGACTATGAGCCTGTAAAATCAAAAGCAAGTTAGTTCCTTCCAAGATACAATGGGGTTACAGGCATTGGATAAATGTTGCCATTCCAAATGGGAGAAATTGGCCAAAACAAAGGGGCTACAGGCTCTATGCACGTACAAAATCAAGTGGGTTGATCATAAAATCTTAAAGCTCATAAATAATCTCCTTTGACTCCATGTCTCACATCTAGGTCATGCTGATGCAACAGGTGGGGTCCTCTGCCCCTGTGGCCTTGCAGGATACAGCCACCCTCCCTGCTGCTTTCACAGGCTGGCGTTGAGTGTCTGTGGCTTTTCCAGGCACATGGTACAAGCTATCAGTGTATCTACTACTCTGGAGTCTGGTGGACAGTGGCCCTCTTCTCACAGCTTCAGTAGGCAGTATCCCAGTGGAAACTCTGTGTGGGGGCTCCAACCCCACATTTCCCTTCTGCACTGCCCTAGCAGAGGTTCTTCATGAGCTCTCCACCCCTGTGGCAAACTTCTGCCTGAACATCCAGGTGTATCATACATCCTCTGAAATCTAAGTGGAGGTTCCCAAGCCATATCAAGCATTTAGATTGATTCCATGTTTTTGCTATTGTGAATAGTGCTACAATGAATGTATGCATGCATGTGTTTTTATAATAGAATGATTTCTATTCCTTTGGGTATATATCTAGTAATGGGATTGCTGGGTCAGATGGTAGATTTGTTTTTAGCTCTTTGAGGAATCACCACACTACTTCCATAATAGTTGAACTAATTTACAATCCCACCAACAGTATATAAACATTCTCTTTTCTCAACTTTGCTAGCATCTATTATTTTTTGACTTTTTGATAACAGTCATTCTGACTGGTGTGAGATGGTGTCTCATTGTGGTGTTGATTTGCAATTCTTTAATGATCAGTGATACTGAGTTTTTCATATGCTTGTTGGCCGCATGTATGTCTTCTTTTGAAAAGTATCTCCTTTTGTTTTTTTCTTGTAAATATGTTCAAATTCCTTGTACATGCTGGATATAGACCAATGGAATAGAATAGAGAGCCTAGAAATAAGGCCACACACCTACAACCATCTGATCTGCACAAAGTTAGCAGAAACAAGCAATGGGGAAAGGACTCCCTATTGAATAAATGGTGCTGGAATAAGTGGGTAACCATATGCAGAAGATTGAAACTGGATCCCTTCCTTATACCATATACAAAAATCGACTCAAAATGAATTAAAGACTTAAATGTAAAACCCAGAACTATGAAAACCCTGAAAGACAACCTAGGCAATACCATTCTGGACACAGGAACTAGCAAAAATTTTATGAAAAAGATGCCAAGGCCGGGCGCAGTGGCTCATGCCTGTAATCCCAGCACTTTGGGAGGCCGAGACAGGTGGATCACGAGGTCAGGAGATCGAGACCATCACCTAACACTGTGAAACCATGTTAGTAGTGAAACCCCATCTCTACTAAAAATACAAAAAATTAGCCAGGCATGGTGGCGGGAGCCTGTAGTCCCAGTTACTCGGGAGGCTGAAACAGGAGAATGGTGTGAACACGGGAGGCAGAGTTTGCAGTGAGCTGAGATTGTGCCACTGCAGTCCAGCCTGGGCGACAGAGCAAGACTCTGTCTTAAAAAAAAAAAAGAGATGCCAAAAAATTGCAACAAAAGCAAAAATTGACAAATGGGATTTAATTAAACTTAAGAGCTTCTGAACAACAAGAGAAAATATCAACACAGATCATGGCAGATGGGAGGCAGGACTAGATTACAGCTCCCACTCAGAGCAGTGTGTGGAGGCTTGTATTGTGAACTTTTGCTCCAGAACTACTGCAGGAATGCATTAGGAAAGCCAAGAGAACCCACAGACCCTCTGAAGGAAGCAGATTGCTCCTGCAGGACTCAGGAGACACCCAAATACTGTGAGTGCCCAAACTGTGGAAGCTGGAAAAGAGGATTGTCTGCCTCAGAACACACCCCCACACTGGGGAACCCGAAGGTCTAGATTACAGGAGAAGATTCTTATCTTACCTGGAGTGAGTCAATTTAGAGACCTGAGAGGAATACATGGGTAGAGAAAGCAGCTGGAAGAGCCCTGTGGGCTTGCTGGGTCCCCAAGCAAGCTATTTCTACCCTGCCTCACAGGGGTCCTTGGAGAGGGCAGCCAGAGGTACTAGAAAAAGGCTTCCAGGAGAACGAAACCTCCAGCTGAACTTCGTTAACAATTTGAACCCATCGAGAAGTCTCCTGGCCAGAATTCAGGAGAGAGTTTGAATCCGGTGTGTAGACTCCACAGGCAGGGGAAGAACAAAAGCCCTAATTGCTTTTGCAGCTAGGAGGTGGGTAGCCTGGGGCAAGTTCTCTTACCTGCTTGCTCACTGCCTGGAGAGGCACAGTGGGAGTGAGACAAGCCCTTTGGGTTACGTGGGAGCTAGGTGACTGCTGGCTTTCCCCCACTTCCTTGACAACCTGCATGACACAGTACAGGCAGCCATAATCCTCCTAGGAACATAATCGTATTGACCTGGGAACCTCACCCCCATCTCCCAAAGCAGCTGCAGCAAGACCAGCCCAAGGAGGGTCTGAGTTCAGACATGACTAGCCCTGCCCCCACCTAATGGTCCTTCCCTACCCACCCTGGTAACTGAGGACAAAGGGTATATACTCTTGGGAGCTCTAGAGCTGATGCTGTCTTGAACACGCCACCTCCTGGCAGGAGGCCAACCAGTGCAAAAATAGTGCATTAAGCAACCAAAGCCAAAGACCCTCACAGAGTCCATCTTACCTCCCTGCATTCTCCACTGGATCAGGGGCTGGTATCCATGGCTGAGAGACCCATAGACAGTTTACATCACAGGACTCTGTGCAGACCACTCCCAGTACCAGCCCTGAGTCTGGTAGACTTGCTGGGTGGCTAGATCCAGCAGAGAGATAACAATCACTATAGCTCAGCTCTCAGGAAGCCACATGCCTAGGAGAAGGGAAAGAGTACAACATCAAGGGAACACCCCATGGGACAAAAGAATCAGAACAACAGCCTTGAGCCCTAGACCTTGCCTCTGACAGATCCTACCCGAAAGAGAAGGAACCAGAAAACCAACTCTAGTAATATGACAGAACAAGTTATTTAATACCACCACTCCCCCCAAAAAAAATCACACTAGCTCACCAGCAATGGATCCAAACCAGGAAGAAATCCTTGATTTACTTGAAAAGGAATTCAGAAAGTTAGTTATTAAGCTAAACATGGAGGCACCAGAGAAATGCAAAGCCCACTCTAAGGAAATTTAAAAGATGATACAAGAAGTGGAGGGAAAAATAGTCAATGAAAAATAGATCGCATAAATAGAAAACATTCAAAACTTCAGGAAACAATGGACATACTTATAAAAATGCAAAATGCCCTGGAAAATCTCAGCAATAGAATCAAACAAGCAGAAGAAAGAACTTCAGAGCTCAAAGATAAGGTATTTGAATTAACTCAATCCAACAAAGACAAAGAAAAAAGAATACGAAAGTATGAACAAAGCATCCAAGAAGTCTGGGATTATGTTAAATGACCAAACCTAAAAGCAATTGGCATTCCTAAGGAAGAAGAGAAATCTAAAAGTTTGGAAAACATATTTGGGGAAATAATCAAGGAAAATTTTCCCAGCCTTGCTAGAGACCTAAACATCCAAATACAAAAAGCTCAAAGAACACCTGGGAAATTCATCACAAAAAGAACATCACCTAGGCATATTGTATCAGGTCATCTAAAGTTAAGATGAAGGAAAGAATCTTACGAGCTGTGAGGCAAAACACCAAGTAACCTATAAAGAAAAACCTGTCAGATTAACAGCAGATTTCTCAGCAGAAATCCTACAAGCTAGAAGGAACTGGAGCCCTATCTTCAGCCTCCTCAAGCAAAACAATTCTAAGCCAAGAATTTTGTATCCAGCAAAACTAAGCTTCATAAATGAAGGAAAGATAGTCTTTTTCAGACAACCAAATGCTGAGAGAATTTGCCACTACCAAGCCAGCCCTACAAGAACTGCTAAAAGGAGCTCTAAATCTTGTAACAAATCCTGAAAACACATCAAAACAGAACCTCTTTAAAGCATAAATTTCACAGGACCTATGAAACAAAATACAATTAAATAAAAAAAAAACAGGGTATACAGGCAACAAATAGCATGATGAATGGAATGCTACATCACATCTCAGTACTAACATTGAATATAAATGACCTAAATGCTCCACTTAAAAGATACAGAATTTCAGAATGGATAAGAACTCACCAACTAACTATCTGCTGCCTTCAAGAGACTCACTTAACACATAAGGACTCACATAAACTTAAAGTAAAGGGGTGGAAAAAGACATTCCATGCAAATGGACACCAAAAGCAAGTAGGAATAGCTATTCTTATATCAAACAAAACAAACTCTAAAGCAACAGCAGTTAAAAAAGACAAAGAGGGACATTATACAATGATGAAATGCCTTGTCCAACAAACAGGAAAATATCACAATCCTAAATATAAATGTACCTAACACTGGAGCTTCCACATTTATAAAACAATTACTAATAGACCTAAGAAATAAGATAGATAGCAACACAATAATAATGGAGACTTCAGTACTCCACTGACAGCACTAGACAGGTCATTGAGACAGAAAGTCAACAAAAAAAACAATGGATTTAAACTATACCCCGGAACAAAAAGACTTAACAGATATATATAGAACATTGTAACCAACAGCTGCAAAATATACATTCTATTCAACAGTACATGGAACTTTCTCCAAGATAGACCACATGATAGGCCACAAAGCAAGCCTTGATATATTTAAGAAAATTGAATTATATCCAGCACTCTCTCAGACCACAGTGGAATAAAACTGGAAATCAACTCCAAAAGGAAACTTCAAAACTTTGCAAATACTTGAAAATTAAGTAACCTGCTCCTGAATGAGCATTGGGTCAAAAATGTATCAAGATGGAAATTAAAAAAGTATTTAAACTGAATGACAGTAGTGACACAACCTATCAAAACCTATTGCATACAGCAAAGGCAGTGCTAAGAGGAAAGTTCATAGCATTAAAAAGTCTGAAAGAGCACAAACAGACAATCTCAGGTCACACCTCAAGAAGCTAGACAAACAAGAACAAACCAAACCCAAACCCAGCAGAAGAAAGGAAATAACCAAATGAAAGCAGAACTAAATGAAATTGAAACATAAAAATTATGAAAGATAAATGAAAAAAAAAGCTGGTTCTTTGAAAAGATAAATAAAATTGATAGAACATTAGCAAGATTAACCAAGAAAAGAAGAGAGAAAATCCAAACAAGCTCAATTAGAAACAAAACAGGAAATATTACTACTGAAACAACTGAAATACAAAAGATTCAAGGCTACTATGAGCACCTTTACCCACATAAACTAGAAAACCTAGAGGAGATGGATAAATTCCAGGAAAGTTACAACCTTCTTAGCTTAAATCAAGAAGAAGTAGATACCCTGAACAGACCAATAACAAGCAGTGAGATTAAAATGGTAATAAAAAATTACCAACAAAAAAAAGTCCAAGACCAGACAGATTCACAGCAGAATTCTACTAGACATTAAATAAGAATTAGTACCAACCCTATTGACACTATTCCACAAGATAGAGAAAGAGGGAACCCTCCCTAATTCATTCTATGAAGTCAGTATCACCCTAATACCAAAACCAGGGAAGGGCATAACCAAAAAAGAAAACTATAGAAACTATAGACCAATATCCCTGATGAACATAGATGCTAAAATCCTTAACAAAATACTGGCTAACCAAATCCCACAATATATCAAAAAGTTATTCTATCATGATCAAGTGGGTTTCATACCAGGCATGCAGAGGTGATTTAACATACTCAAGTTCAAAAATGTGATACACCACATAAACATAATTAAAAACAAAAAACACATGATCATCTCAATAGATACAGAAAAACCATTTGACAAAATCCAGCAATCTTTATGATTAAAACTCTCAGCAAAATTGGCATACAAGGAACACACCTCAATGTAATGAAAGCTATCTATGACAAAACCACAGCCAACATAATACTGAATGGGGAAAAGTTGAAAGCGTTCCCTCTGAGACCTGGAACTAGACAAGAATGCCAGTTCTCACCACTCCTCTTTAGCATAGTACTTGAAGTCCTAGCCAAAGCGATCAGATAAGAGAAAGAAATAAAGGACATCCAAATCAGTAAAGAGGAAGCTAAGCTGTCACTATTTGCTGATAATATGACTATTTTCCTAGAAAACTCTAAAGACTCTTCCAGAAAGCTCCTAGAACTGATAAAAGAATTCAGCAAAGCTTCCAGATACAAAATCAATGTACACAAATCAGTAGCTCTTCTATACACCAACAGCAACTAAGCTGAGAATCAAATCAAGAACTCAACCACTTTTAGAATAACTGCAAAAAATAAAATAAAATACTTAGGAATATACCTAAGGAGGTGAAAGACCTCTAGAAGGAAAACTACAAAACACTGCTGAAATAAATTATAGATGACACAAACAAATGGAAACACATCCCATGCTCATAGATGGGTACAATCAATATTGTGAAAATGAATATACTGCAAAAGCAATCTACAAATTCACTGCAATTCCCAACAAAATACCACCATAACTCTTCACAGAATTAGAAAAAAACAATCAGAATTCATATAGAACCAAAAAAGACTAAGCAAAAAGAACAAATCTGGAGGCATCATATTACCTGATTTCAAACTATACCATAAGGCCATAGTCAGCAAAACAGCATGGTACTGGTATACAAACAGGCACATAGACCAGTGGAACAGAAGAGACAACCCAGAAATAAACCCAGATACTTATAGCCAACTGATCTTCACCAAAGCAAGCAAAAACATAAAATGGGGAAAGGACACCCTATTCAACAAATGGTGCTGAGATAATTGGCAAGCCATGTAGGAGAATGAAACTGAATCCTCATCTCTCACCTTATACAAAAACCAACTCCAGATGGATCAAGGACTTAAATCTAAGACCTGAAACTTTAAAAATTCTAGAAGATAACATTGGAAAACCCCTTCTAAACATTGGCTTAGGCAAGGATTTCATGTCCAAGAACCCAAAAGCAAATGCAATAAAAACAAATATAAATAGCTGGGACTTAATTAAACTAGAGAGCTTTTGCATGGCAAAAGGAATGGTCAGTAGAGTAAACAGACAACTCACAGAGTGGGGGAAAATTTTCACAATCTATACATCTGACAAAGGACTAATATCCATAATCTATAACAAACTGAAGCAAATTAGCAAAAGAAAAAAAAAGCAAACAATCCCATCAAAAAGTGGGCTAAAGACATGAATAGACAATTCTCAAAAGAAGATATACAAATGGCCAACAAAAATATGAAAAAATGCTCAACATCACTAATGATCAGGGAAATGCAAATCAAAACCACAATGCAATACCACCTTACTCCTGCAAAAATGACCATAATAAAAAAATAATAGATGTTGGCGTGCATGAAGTCAACAGGAACAGTTCTACACTACAGTGGGAATGTTAACTAGTACAACCACAATGAAAAACAATGTGGAGATTCCTCAAAGAACTAAAAGTAGAACTAGGATCCAGCAATCCCACTACTGGGTATCTACCAAGATAAAAAGAAGTCATTATACAAAAAAGATACTTGCACACACATTTATAGCAGCACAATTCGCAATTTGCAATTCACAATTGCAAAAACATGGAATCAACCCAATCAACAAGTAGATAAATAAACTCTGTGTGTGTGTGTATATATATATGTGTATATATATGTATATATGTGTGTGTATATATGTGTATATACATATGTATATGTATACATATATACACACACATATATATACACACATATATACACACACACACATATATACATATATGGAGTATGATGGTATACTACTCAGACATAAAAAGGAATGAATTAATGGCATTCCCAGTGTCCTGGAGGGGACTGGAGACTATTATTCTAAGTGAAGTAACTCAGGAATGAAAAAGCAAACATCATTACATTCTCACTCATAAGTGGGAGCTAAGCTATGAGAATGCAAAGGCATAGAATGACAAAATAGACTTTGGAGACTCAGGGGAAAGAGTGACAAGGGGATGAGGGATAAAAGACCACACATTGGGTGCAGTGTATACTGCCCGGGTGATGGGTGCACCAACATTTCACAAATCACCACTAAAGAACTTACTCATGTAACCAAACACCACTTGTTCTCCAATAACCTATAAAAATAAAAAAAAAATTAAAAAATAAAACTATCAACACAGTAAGCAGATATCCTGTGGAATGGGAGAAAATATTTGCGAACTATGCACCTGACAAAAGTGCTTTGTTATATTTTCCTCTAGTTAAATCATATTTCTGGTATATGAGGAATACTAGAAAAAAATCAGTAAATGAGAATGTTTCAGTTCTATCCTGTATGTTCTTGCTAAGAAATTCTAAAAAGCAACTGAGAGTCTGTTTTACTACAGACATCAGCTTGTATTCTCTTAACAGAATGACATAAATGACAGTAGAAAAAACTAGGAATAGCATGTGGGCAGGTGAAAATGTAAGTACACTCAGGTTTTTGGGCAATCGTACATGATTGGTGTATTAATGCAGAGATTTTGAAGACAGTAATTTCCCTCTTTCTAGCACCTCTCTTCCAAAGTACATTACAAAGTAACTTTTTTTTTTTAACAAAAGCAACTATAATTCTTGTCCAGGCTCATCATGTATCAACAAAGGTTGAGAAAGGCAAGTGGAGAATAAATAGACCTCAAATACTCTTGCCTTATCTGGTTTTGTTACTTTGAAAGGCCCCCTTCACTCGTCTCTCAGTCTGCAGTCTGTGGGTCCCAGGTGTTGCTGAGATTTAAATAAATAAAGACACCTCAAGGCACAAGAAGACATACTGAACATGATTAGTAAATGTTCGGTGCTTTTCTTGGTAGACAATGTGTAGCCAGTGAATTTAGGGCTGCACTAAATGACTTCTAAAACCCTTTGCAGGCCTGAAATTCTGTTATGAGGAATCAATTAAAAAGAGCAAGTTTCTGATGTGTACACCCGCTCTCCTTATTTTGAGGAAACAGCAAGATAATATATCCCAATAGAACAGATTAACACGTAGACAAGATGGAGGGGGTATTGGCCTAATATTTTGAAACCCTTGCTTCACAACTTGGGCCATAAATACACAGCTGGTATATCAGGGATATTTATAAGAGTATTTGTTTTGAAATTCAAGTTTCGTTTACCTGCAGTATATAAAAATCACTTCAGATTTGTATGTATATATATATATATATGTGTGTATATATATATATATATATATATACACACATATATATATACACATATATATATATATACACATATATATATATAGGATTGTATATGGAGAATATACAAAGATGATGTGACGTCCCAGAGGTAACATTTATTTCATTATTTGAAAGAGATGTTTCAATATTACTAGAACTATAAAGCACCTTGAATCCTAGGATAAAATGATACTTCATATTTTAATATTTGGGGTAAAAATTATGTATCTCCTTACATGTTTATACTGAACCTGGAACCCAAAGAATATTTCCTAAACGCTGGTGGGCTGTATCCTGTCCCTGTTCTATAATTACTAAATCTAACATGCAGTAGGTTCACGTGACAAATGTCTATTTCTATCTGTTGAGCTGCCACTTCTCATTATTTGCTTGGATTCAAAGGGGCCTGATTGATGCAAAATTCCAAGTCAAAGCTTTTGCTAAAGCAAAACTGTGTCTATTGATACTGCAATTTGTGGGGTTCAATATTTATGAATAGTGAACCAGTCACAGGGGAAATGACTAAAACAGAAAGCATTGAGCAATAAGATAGGTCATGTCCCAAACTTTAACATAAACTTTGGTCAAAGAATTGGCTGACTCCTAGGTATCTGGAAAAGAGAGATTCTGTGTTGTATTGTTGTGCCAAAAAGTGGTATGTTAGTGGACTACTCACAGAAATGGTTGCAGACTAGAAGCTACACCATCTTGAATGTGTGCCCACCTGTGACCTTTCACTGCCCATTATGCACATCGAGGAATGTCAGGATGCACTTCAGGACATTTTCTAAAGAACAGTCTGGAGGAGTTGATAGGAAAGAAAGCTGACCTTCTTATATAGCTTAATTTTCCCTGTCAGTGCTTCATAAATACAGATATACCAACCTGCTGCCTTTCCCTCAGATACTCTGACTTAGAAAATAAATGAAGATAATTATCACTTTTAATTGCAGTTCAGAGCTCTCAATTCTTTGTCCAGGTTAGTTTTTTCTAAACTATGTATTAAGGTCAGTTGACCTTCTCTAATATAACCATATTTATTTCAATGAGAAAAAAGAAGGAAAAAAATAAAAAGTCATCCGTTTCCACCAGTTATGCATTTGCACACCCCCTACCTAGGAACGTATTCACCAACACAGATGGTCACAGTGTCGTCCTTGGGTGTTAAGTTCTCTGTTCTTGATGCTCCAGCTGTTATTTTCTAGTAATGCAGCAAGTATCTCAGAAACAAATGCTATTGAGGCATGTTTTCCCATCTGTAATACATAAAGGTGTATTTATACAATGCTATTAAGTGTGCTGTTTTACTAAGCACCTCTCTTATAAATTTTACATTCCTTGGAGAGAAATGTTTTTTCTCGTATTTCATTTGCTTTACTTACAATCTCTAATTCACTGAGTCAGATAATATTAGAGTGAAAATTACAGTGCAGGCAGATAACTCAGGCAAATACAGTGCAGAACTGAAAAAAAATTGAATTGTTTGAATTCCAATTCAAGTTTAAATCTACTAGGTAAAGTATATATTTTGATATATAAACCCTCATGAATCTCATTCCAGACTTATAAATTTTATTTCATTTACATCAACTTTCTAATCAGTTAGTGGGGCACACAAATACGCTTAGTGCACTGTGAAATGCAAGCCGTTCTCAATAAAGGCCAGACAGAAAATTTATTTTCCTTTAACAGAATTGGCAAAGCAGAAAACAAAGTTGGAACATTACTTTGAGACTTGTTTTAGCAAAGGGGTTAATGAACTCTCAAATTGTTTTCTGCTCTGCTTATGCTTTACATGAAAATCTACGATGTTCAACTCCATCCTATTTTATCCCCAAATTAACTTCTGTAATGGCAGGCTCCAAAATGTATCCTGAAGAGAATGCTGAAACAGAAAGCAATGAGCAACAATGCTGCCATTCAGGTTGCAATATAAATGACATTTACTTTGAAGAAACAGGTAACACCTCATCAATAGGCGTAGCAGTCCTATTGTAGGAAGAAGTGATGAGGAGATAATTGCTTATTGTATTACTTTTCTGGAATGGCTATGACAAGGGCCACAAACTGAGTTACTTAGAACCACAAAGATGTATAGTCACACAGTTCTGGAGGCTGGAAGTCTGAAATCAAGGTGTTCGCAGCGTAAATTCCTCCTGAAGACAGTGAGAGAAGGGTCTGTTTCAGGACTCTTTCCTTGACTGGTATATGACCATCTTCTTTTTTTTTTTTAATTATACTTTAAGTTTTAGGGTACATGTGCACAACGTGCAGGTTAGTTACATATGTATACATGTGCCATGTTGGTGTGCTGCACCCATTAACTTGTCATTTAACATTAGTTATATCTCCTAAGGTTATCCCTCCCCCCTCCCCCCACGCCACAACAGTCCCCAGTGTGTGATGTTCCCCTTCCTGTGTCCATGTGTTCTCATTGTTCAATTCCCACCTATGAGTGAGAACATGCGGTATTTGGTTTTCTGTCCTTGTGATAGTTTGCTGAGAATGATGGTTTCCAGCTTCATCCATGTCCCTACAAAGGACATGAAATCATCATTTTTTATGGCTGCATAGTATTCCATGGAGTATATGTGCCACATTTTCTTAATCCAGTCTATCATTGTTGGACATTTGGGTTGGTTCCAAGTCTTTGCTATTGTGAATAGTGCCGCAATAAACATACATGTGCACGTGTCTTTATAGCAGCATGATTTATAATCCTTTGGGTATATACCCAGTAATGGGATGGCTGGGTTAAATGGTATTTCTAGTTCTAGATCCCTGAGGAATCCCCACACTGACTTCCACAATGGTTGAACTAGTTTACAGTCCCACCAACAGTGTAAAAGTGTTCCTATTTCTCCACATCCTCTCCAGCACCTGTTGTTTCCTGACTTTTGAATGATCGCCATTCTAACTGGCGTGAGATGGTATCTCATTGTGGTTTTGATTTGCATTTCTCTGATGGCCAGTGATGATGAGCATTTTTTCATGTGTCTTTTGGCTGCATAAATATCTTCTTTTGAGAAGTGTCTGTTCATATCCTTCGCCCACTTGTTGATGGGGTTGTTTGTTTTTTTCTTGTAAATTTGTTGGAGTTCATCGTAGATTCTGGATATTAGCCCTTTGTCAGATGAGTAGATTGCAAAAATTGTCTCCCATTTTGTAGGTTGCCTGTTCACTCTGATGGTAGTTTCTTTTGCTGTGCAGAAGCTCTTGAGTTTAATTAGATCCCATTTGTCAATTTTGGCTTTTGTTGCCATTGCTTTTGGTGTTTCAGACATGAAGTCCTTGCCCATGCCTATGTCCTGAATGCTATTACCTAGGTTTTCTTCTAGGTTTTTATGGTTTCAGGTCTAACATGTAAGTCTTTAATCCATCTTGAATTAATTTTAGCATAAGGTGTAAGGAAAGGATCCAGTTTCAGCTTTCTACATATGGCTAGCGTTTTCCCAGCACCATTTATTAAATAGGGAATCCTTTCCCCATTGCTTGTTTTTCTCAGGTTCGTCAAAGATCAGATGGTTGTAGATACACAGCATTATTTCTGAGGTCTCTGTTCTGTTCCATTGATCTATATCTCTGTTTTGGTACCAGTACCATGCTGTTTTGGTTACTGTAGCCTTGTAGTATAGCTTGAAGTCAGGTAGTGTGATGCCTCTAGCTTTGTTCTTTTGGCTTAGGATTGACTTGGCAGTGCGGGCTCTTTTTTGGTTCCATATGAACTTTAAAGTAGTTTTTTCCAATTCTGTGAAGAAAATCATTGGTAGCTTGATGGGGATGGCATTGAATCTATAAATTACCTTGGGCAGTATGGCATTTTCACGATATTGATTCTTCCTACCCATGAGCATGGAATGGTCTTCCATTTGTTTGTATCCTCTTTTATTTCATTGAGCAGTGGTTTGTAGTTCTCCTTGAAGAGGTCCCTGGGATGCAAGGCTGGTTCAACATATGCAAATCAATAAACGTAATCCAGCATATAAACAGAACCAATGACAAAAAACATATGATTATCTCAATAGATGCAGAAAAGGCCTTTGACAAAATTCAACAACGCTTCATGCTAAAAACTCTCAATAAATTAGGTATTGATGGGATGTATCTCAAAATAATAAGAGCTATCTATGACAAACCCACAGCTAATATCATACTGAATGGGCAAAAACTGGAAGCATTCCCTTTGAAAACTGGCACAAGACAGGGATGCCCTCTCTCACCACTCCTATTCAACATAGTGTTGGAAGTTCTGGCCAGGGCAATCAGGCAGGAGAAGGAAATAAAGGGTATTCAATTAGGATAAGGGGAAGTCAAATTGTCCCTGTTTGCAGATGACATGATTGTATATCTAGAAAACCCCATCGTCTCAGCCCAGAATCTCCTTAAGCTGATATGCAACTTCAGCAAAGTCTCAGGATACAAAATCAATGTGCAAAAATCACAAGCATTCTTATACACCAATAACAGACAAACAGAGAGCCAAATCATGAGTGAACTCCCATTCACAATTGCTTCAAAGAGAATAAAATACCTAGGAATCCAACTTACAAGGGACGTGAAGGACCATCTTCTTCCTATATATCTTTAGATGGCATCCTCCATGTTTGCATCCCTTTGTACAAATTTCCCTTTTATAAGAACACCAGTAATTTTGGGGTAGGGCCTCACCATACTCCAGTATGACCTCACCCTCACATAAAGAATCACATCTGCCACAACCTTATTTCCAAATAAGGTCACATTCTGAGGTACTTACTGCTAGAATTTTAACATATGAGTGAGGGGGGAGCACAATTCAACCTATAACATTCATATATTTTAGGCATGTTCTCATATTTGCAAAAGTTATGAGAAGAGTATTCAACATCATGAAACACTGAAGCCGTGAGAAATACCATTATACCCCACCATAATGGCTAAGGATTCACACGTCTTTCAGTAGTAGAATGGATTTGTTTGTTGTGGAATATTCATAGTAAAACACTACATGGGAATTAAGAAGGAAAAACTGCTACATGCTACACAACGGTTGAATTACACAAACTTTGGCAAGGATGTAGAGCAACCAGACCATTGTGTATTGCTAAGGAGACTATAAAATGGTTCAACCACTCTGAAAATCTGTTTGGCATAATCTAATGCCACTTGAATTAGTCCATTCTCACACTGTAGTAAAGATACTAACTGAGACTGGGTAATTTATAAAGAAAAGAGGTTTAATTGACTCACAGTTCTGCTTGGGTGGGGAGGCCTCAGGAAACTTACAACCACGGGAAGAAGCAGCAGGCACCTTCTTCATAAAGCAGCAGGAGAGAGTGTGAGCAGAGAGCAAAGGGGGAAGAGCCCCTTATAAAACCATCAGATCTCATGAGAACAGCAGTGGGGGAAACCACCCCTATGAGCCAATCATGTTCCACCAGGTCCATCCCTCGACAACTGGGAATTACAGTTGGACATGAGATTTGGGTGGGGTCACAGACCCAAAACATATCACTACTTATCCTATGACCCAGCAAATTTCACCCCCACATATATGCCAAAGAAAAATGAGTGCATATGTGCAGCAAAGGACATGTACAAGAATGTTCAAAACAGCTTTGTTAAAATTATCAAAAACCTGGAAACAACCATGTCTTTCAACAGTAGAATTGATAAGTGAACGGTGATATATTCATAGTAGAATTCTACCCAGTGATTAAAAAAAAAAAAAAAAAACTACTGCCACACACAACATTATAGCTGATTACTGCAGGCATAATTTGGGCCAAAAAACCACAACGTAAATGAGTATATACTATAAATTTCTATTCATATGAAATTTGGAAAAAGGTAGAACTAATAGTAATAAAAACCAGAATAAGAATTACCTTTAATGGGGTGATATGGATGACAGGGGCATGAGAACAGTTCTTGTGATATACTTCATGTTCTACATCTTAATCCAGGCTGTGGTAAAGTCAGTAGATATATATGTAAAAATTTCAATATTTTTTGTATATGTGTTATTATCTAAATAAAAAAATTACAAAATACAAGAATGATAAAAAAGATTAGGTAACATGTATAGTACAGTTCTCATAAAATCATAAACAGAGTTGAAATAGCAAAAGCCAATTAGTAAAGGCAGAATCTAGTCATATCCTCCAGTTTTAAGATTTTATACCACTGGTTCAGAGGCTCAGCTATATTAGAGAATTGGGAAATTTCACTTAACCTAAGAAAACTCTTTGCTTTCTACCTGCTTAAGTTGGGAAGTAGCAGTAGTGAGATGGCTTGGTCCTCACTTTCTGCCTCACCAAGGCCTCTCTCAGACATCACACCTACACTATACTTTCCTAATTCAACACGCATTAGGAAACTCCCATTTTATGATGGGTATTTATGGAAAATATAGGACTCAGGGGGATGATTAAAGATGTCCCTATATATTACATTCATTTTCAATCTTTTACATTTGAATCAAAACTCAAGGCCCAGGCCTGAGGCATTTTCAGTTTATGCCAAAATACTATAAGGAGAATATTTCCATTGGAATGACTCAGGCTACTCACCAAATATTTACACGTCCTTTCACACCCTTACCTCTAAAGAGCTGTAATGCAACGAAGAATTTGTAAATCTGGAGATGTTCCAGAATCATATAAATCCTCATATTTTGAATTCAAAACCAAACACCTTAAAAGAGAAGACTAACCCTTATTGAAAGTATTAGGAACATTGCTTATAAATGTCAGAAAATAAAGATTGTAAATAATTTATCTAGCCCTGTGTATGTTTCACCAATGGAAGAAAGGCAACAACAATATACACATCAGGTTAGAAGTTGAACTCCACCTATTTTTAACTTTGAGTTGTGCATAGAGAAGAAGGAAATTCGTCTGGAGTCCATCAACTCATGGACAGATGTACATATGTTCTGAGTAATGCTGCAAGAAGTCTTCCTTTTTCTTTCTTTTCTTAATCAATTGCCTAATTAATTGCTTTTTTAAGCAGTAAGCATCAGGTTGCCTGAGGGCAACTGCCTTCTGATGCATAGCAGAAAAGTAATTTGTAGTTTTAAATCCATGAGATCACTTTTGAGTCAAGATTCAAGACACTATCTCTCTCTGGCACTTTTCATGGACAAAGGCACTGAAGTATTAAAAAATGTAAGGGATAAAAATGTGTGTGTAAAAAACAATGAAGAGTGAAAAAGATAATTAAATATACTAATTATTAGGCCATTGATAACTTTTAAGGAAGTAGTTTTAGTAGGGTGATATTGGAGTAAAAGCCTTTAATTATTTTATTAAAATCTGTAGTAATGACTGACATCATTGGGTGGGCTAAGTATGGACTCTACATAGATATTTCAAGCATTGCTGCTATATTTTCTGGATATTTTCTCTCTTTGATTCAGCAAAATAACTTTCACTTACCATTGACAAATGCCTCTAGTCAGGGCTGATCCCAATCAATGGTAGAATGATGGTGAGGTTTGATCCAACCACCTTTCTGTTTAGTTCTTGCTCTAAAACCCAGAGACCCAGTGCTTAGAGAGTCCTGTATGGGAGGAGCAGCTGCCTGTGTATTCTTCCTGGTTTAGGAGAATGCACAGTCTCCCAATTTATTGCTTCATTAAACTCTGTCTACTTGATCTCCATTCTACCAGACACTGAATGTGGCAGCCATGAGTGGCACACGCAGGAAACCAATGCGATGGCTTCCTGAAAAGGTACCAATCTCGGCTCAAATGATCAGTTTTTATGAAGGTACTTTAGGAAGTATTTAATATGGGAAAGTTCAAACAACATAAGGAGGGTCCATTTGAAGGTGAGGGTCTATTTCTCTTTCCCCTTCTAATCACACATCATAAGTCATTATTGGCTCTGCTTTTTTAATGCTGCCCTTGCCTAGAGTATTAAACACAAAAATAGGGAAGTAAAGGGAAGTGGAAATTATTCATCAATATTTACTCTTCTTTCTATGTGTCCAGGGCACAGACACAGAGCTGTGGCATTCTGATGCATCTCTGGTTCACCAGCTGCGGAAGTGCAGGTGTATGTTTTCTTGATACTGAGAGGTTCTGTAGATACGTTATTATTGACTTTTTCCTCTCAAGGGTCTTCTGCTCTTGATGCTTCCTGCAACATATGTAGATGTTTTATGGCAGGAAGCTATTGAATTGGGCCCACTGGGAATACTTTTATTAGAACCCAATATGGACTGAAATAAAGTCCTATTGCAATTGGGACAATTTGCAAGCTCTCCTACTTACTAGTACATTCCTAATTTCCAAAAGCTCGTCTCTTCCCTACACACAAAGCAGCCTGGGGAAATGTCGGTTGACATATGTAAGTAAACCACAGTTATGTTTCATTGTGCATGACCAGTCTATTAAGGGGTAGATTCATTATGTACTAGAGACAAAGGTATTTTCCCTCTTTCTCATTACTCTGACATCTAAAGTGCTAATAAAGGTTTTAAAATAATGTATGAGCAAGCACTGGATCCTTTCTTCTCCCAGGTCTCCCTCTTCAGATCCTCAAATCAGATCCCTGATATCACAGTATGTGAATCCCCCATTGACTGAAACTCTGGACAGCATACAGAGTGCAGTATTGCTGAAATCACTTTCCTCTGCAGCTGCAATTTAATAATTCCAAAATAGTTTATCAAGGCAAAGAAAACATAGATTTATAAGAGCATTTGAAGGAAAACTTATTCCCACCATGTCTAAACTTCTCATCAAAAAGAAATATTTAGAAAATTCAGGATATATAGATTTTTTTCTGACTTCAAACACAGACCTGTTCATTACTTTGTCCATGCTAATATTTTACCAGAATCTCTGGTGGTACTGAAACTTAACATTATAAAGTTTTGGTTGTTGATGTTATTTTTTTACATTCACCTGAAAAATGCTGAATATGACATGATCAGAAAGTATTATTCCTTAATTCACTTACCAATTGTGACATATGTTGGGAGACATTTGCACATAATTCTTTGCTAGATACTGAGTTTCTGAGAAGGGGAATGAGAAAGGCAATATTTACAAAGACTGTTTTGCTGTAGGAGACATTTTCCTAAGTTATTTTATTTCTTTCTGACAATTTATTTAAAGATAATTATAGCTATATGGGACAATTTGGCATACAGAAAAAAACATAGATGATAGAGGTAGCAGCTGAGTACTTTGATATCAAAGGTTTGTGTGAGCCTCTTTCTAATAATAAGGAATGGAAACAACCATGTTTCTCATGCACTTTTCTGAGCTATCAATTTATAAATAATTTATTTGTATTAAAACCATTACTGCTTTCTTTTAAATCAGAGGAGAATATAATTAGAAAATGTTTATTGCCACAGAAGCATAGTAATGAATTTGAAAACCTGTCCATTATCTCACAAAATCCACATAAGACATGTGCCACTTGCACATAAAACAAAGCTGTTTAATCAGTATGACTGAAAGATCCTCAATCCTCGAGGCATAAAAGGTTTAGAACAATATTGTCCTAGTGATGATAATAATAATTAGGTGCCATAAAGAATTATGTAAAACCTACAAAGCTAGTGGTAGAAATTAATGTTTTCCCCAAAGTATTAGTTACACATTGATTCTTGCAATGTTTTAGCCTAGGATTATAGGAAAAGGAAGCTTAAAACAGCATGAACAATCATCTCAGAACACATTTTTGGGAATTGTTCCTTTCTGAATTTTGGAATAATAGGAATTATAACTAGAAGAAAAGAGGAAGATAAAAGCAGAGAGGCATCTCAGTAAAAAACTGATGACCTTATTTTGTACATAGCAAAAGTTAGGCAGAAAAAAATTCCATTATTGGAACATTCAGGTTTTACTTCTCAGAACAATAGTCCCATGTTCTGTGCCACACAAGGACAAAAAAGTCAAAAATTATTCACATACATGTACAATATTAATTGTAATCAGGTGGTGAAATTTTATATTCAAATTCCTCTATTTAGCAATATTACTTTAACTATTATCAAAGTAAAGCAGAGTTTAAATTGGGACTGAAAAGATAAAAGCAAATATTGCACCACTTCATAATTCATTCTGCATAATTTTAATTGTATCACATTTTAAGGAGTAGCATCTTACTATGTAAAAAAAATGCATTTGACAAATACTTCTATCTCTGTTGATGTGACTGGATGCATTAGAAAAGATTTGTTCCAGGACAGAAAGAATTGCCTGCTTCCAAAATCTCTTTGTAAATCAGTTAGCCATAGTTCTTTTATTGTCCTTTATGGGAAGGATATTCAGGTTGTTGAGGCAAGTGTAGATTCATCAACCCTGGAAGGAACATTTTTACCCAGCCTCTCCTTGAATCAACCCTTTTTTCTGAATTATTAGTAAGCCATATTTCCAACAATTATAGTAAGTAGATCCTTGAGAAAAACAACAAAAAAATGCTCTTGACTTTTTAGTGAATGTATGCTGGGGTCATTTTCTTAATTTTAGTGATTGATTGTTCCCCAAATTCAATAATTACAGAATCTGTATGAAGAAAGCAGCTGCAAAGCTGCTGCTACAAGTAAGTAAAATATTACCCTCACATAAAAGGTCTCTCAAATGAATGGCTCTGTGCCCATTAGAGAAACTCTGTATTGTGATAAAACTACTGCAAATGTATGTGAAGAGCATAGGAATGTCAAGCAAATTCATTGTCTATAGTTATTACTTTCTTAGTTCTCTAAACTTTACTTACTAAATAATTAACACTAAAAACAAAACAAAACAAAAAAAACAGCAACAGGGAAACAATACTTTTCATTGTGATTCTAAATCTGACTTCAGCACATGTTATAGCATTATTGTTCTCTGTGCTGTGATTTTGATTCAATTACCAACATTTTGTTTCAAAATGGAGTAGAACCCAATTCTGCAGAATGTAGTGCCTTAATTACCCTTCATTTACAGTAATCCCTTTCTTTTAACCAGATTTGTACTATGAGTTAAATTTGAATAAGCACATACCAAAATATTTTATTATTTGATATTTAAATATGTGTTTACCTTAAGTACTTTTGAACAGCCTCATTGTATTCCTTGAAACAATTAAACATTATACCTTTTAAAAAATTATCTGACTATTCTTTGGATATATCTTAATGGGGGAAAAGTCAGATTTCAAATGTGTTAGCAAGATATCTTACTGTGACTTTTAACCATGAAGTTTATATTGATGCAAAGGCTCCATTTAAAAAGAAAGTTGCCATAATATGCAACCCATTTTAAATCTCAATACATAATTGACAAGGCTAATTCAGTTTCTTTGAAGGGAGGCTCAACTTCCCATCATATTTTTCCTGAAAAACCCTAATTATTATATTTTACTGGTTCTTTAGTGGAATAAACCAGCCTTTCTCTGCTGTTTAGTTTAGAGCTATAATGACTGTCCAGATACATAAACCAAGAACCGGCGAAGAGCTTGTGCCATTGTCCAGTGAATTCAAGTTTCAGGAATAGTCACATATTCATGGAACCAATGTTTATTGAACATCTACAATGGACAAGGTACATTTTTGGTATTGGAGAGCAACAATAAACAAAATAGACAACACCCCCTACATTCATAGAGCTTGCGTTCTAGTTGCAGAAACAATAACTCAGGAAAAAATTAAATATTTATTATATTCTTTATAAAATTTCTAACAAGGAATAAAAGCCTAAGAGTGAAAAAGGAACATGTGTGCATGGGGGCAGGGTGGGGGGCAGGGGTGGGGCAGTGTCTCTATATATGTTAGCCTAGGAAAAAATTGCTTCCAGATAATTCAAGAAATGCATTGAACTAATTCAGTTTATACCCTGAGAGAAACACAGCACTTTATTAAAGAATCAAAATGATGTTTCTTCCAGTGAATTCTGATGAAAATGTGGTTAAGAAACATGCTCTTCAAGAAGTATATTTGAATCTAGTATAATAAGCAGAAAACAAATCTATTACATTGCGTATTGATATGTTTGGGCTAGTTGGGTCTGTCTTTACCATTATCTTTCACAAAACTGAAAGATTCTGAGGAACAACAAGCAAGTTGTTTCACCTCAGTTGGAGGTCTAGAATTGCAAATGAATTAACAGTAAGGGAAAAAAAATATTTTGGCTCCAAACTTCAGTCCCACATGTGTTAGAGTGGATTATAAAACACACAAGAACAAGTGATCTTTCAGGTTACTTGGCAAACTAAACTTAAGCATCTTAATATAGGAACCGTAAAATAATATTGCACATTTTTGTAGTTCCAACAAGCACTTTGAATTATTTTTAAATAAATTTTTAATAAGTAGTTTTGACTGAAGGAAAACTATCATGGTAATGATGCAAAATATACTAAAAAAATAAGGAACATTTCTCACTGAAAGACACTGGAAATACATATACCTGCCTTTGAAGAGATGTCAGCACATCACATTTAAGCCATCTAGTCTGTAGAAAGACGACAAGGTATCTTATACTTTCTGTAAGATATTTAATATCCCTCTATCATTTTCCCATCAGAAGAATTTGTAAATTTCCCAAATCCGTGTTCAAGTTACTCTGCCTCTCAGGATTCTCAGAGCAGCTGCCAATTTCTAGTACCAAATGTAGAGAAGGATCTCTCATGACCATAAATCAATTCTGTCACCATTTGGGATTACATAAGGACATAGAAGGAAAGACTTTGATCTGGACACTAAATCCAATTAACAATGAGCTAGACATTGGAGCAATCAGTCCCTTTTTCAGCAATCTCTTTTCTGAAGCGTCCTTGGCCTGAGATCCATTGAGATGAAGGTCCTTGTGGGCTCAAAGACTACTCTCTCATAGCCAGTATTTGGACCTGCTCTCAGCAAGAGCCAGTGTTCCTATGATATAACCTCTTTCAGATTCTGGTCTTAGCTAAACTACATCTGGTGAAGAGTGATCTGTGTGTGAAATCTAATGAAGCACTCCACAACTGGCTTCTAAAACCTGGGTCCTGATGGAGGCAGATGAGTTTTATTAAAACGTTACCAAGCCACTAATTTTGTTATTTGAAGAGCCCCACTAAGAGTTGCTTACAGAATTCTTTGCTATTTTTCAAAGAACTAAGAAGCAAAAGTTGGAATTTTTGTTAGCGGTGTTTCATCTTTCAGATACGATCATTCTTGCTCAGCATACCCACCTTCCTCACTAAAATGAAAGGGAATAATTCCCGTAGGAGTTAAGCTGCCTCTACCAATTTCATTTTCACTAGAACCAATCAAGAAAAGACCATAACATCTTTTATTTCTCAGCAGAGTTCTTCTCTGTTCCTAAACACGGGTTACTTAGCCAATTATTGCGAACATATGGATCTTCCATATTTATATGATTTAATATCAGTGATGACAATCTATCTCAAGGGAACTGACTCATGTAAGAAAAAAAGTTTTCTGGATTTGGATTTTTCAAAAAGGTGGCCAGGGTTTTCTTCTCTAAGGGAAAATCCCCTTCAAGCTGCCTGTAGAGATGTGTTTTCTAATTATGTGTAAGGCATGCCAGGAGGGGCCTGACACCTGTGTAGGGGAGAGATTCTGAGTACTGTGGTAGTGACCAGGGTCAGGTGGCTCAGGTTAGAGATGCCAGGTGTACACGCCCCAGGCCAGTTTCACAGGCAGCCATTGTTTCCCCAAATCTAGACAAGACCAGAATGTCAGTGATGAACAACCTTGAGGGAGCTAGTTCTCACAGCGCTGTGTATCCAACTGTGTTGGAAATTACCCAGGGAAGCCTGTTTCAACAGGACTTCTAGCTGCAGTTGTAGGCCCAAAAGTTTCAAGGGAGTCTTTGAACTTGAGGATGCCTATCATTCCCGGTTTTGAAAGCTTCTAAGAACCGCTAGCTGCCAGTCACCAGGAAACAGAGAAAGGAAGTTAATAAGCTAACTCACTTTAGCCGTAATTTATTGCAGTTCATGTTTTTCCCTGTCTTTTTCGCACATTTGGAATGCAGTGTTACCACAGAAAGATCTGCTCCTCGGAATGTATTTTGAATCTTTTTTCTAATCCTTGCTTCACAGAGTTTCATAGTATCTGAAAAAAAATATATGCTTTTAGTTATTCCTGTTGGTAAAATTTCTATAGGATCTAGCCACAACAAGCTCATAGATACACCTAGAGATTAATAGACATATAGTCTAATAGACTCACCTTCATTTCTACTGACTTCTAGTGACAGGCACAGACTGCTGTATTGCATGACGCAGTGAAAGAACTTGAGAAAAATAATCCAAAATTGGAATGTGAGGCCCCATGCTGCAACTACTGCTTTAGGACCTGGGGATAGTTTTCCTAACCTTTCTACAGTTTTAGATCTATAAAGTGGCCATAATAAAACATGCCCTATATCTCAAGATGTTTGCATATGAATCAAAGGAGATAATTTATTTAAAAGCTGTTTGATAAGGGCAATATCCTGCAGAAATAAGCATTTTGATTTTTACAGATATGCTACATTCAGAGCTTTCCCAAATTTGGGTTGCCTACTATTGAATATTTTATTTCTTGGGCCTCTTGCATTTATATAATTATATAATTCTCCACTCTGGGTGATAATTATACGTATATGAAGAAAAACCCTCGATAAGGGGAAATAGAAAAGGTTGGATATCTTCCTCCCCTAATGTTGCTCTCCTGAGGGTCCAGTACCTGGCCATGGTGGACTAATCACAAGAGAAATGCACTGCAGACATTCCTTCAAGCTTCTGAGGTTTTTTTTTTTAAACTATAAAAGTCAAAGCACCATGAGAAACATGCCATCTTGAAGGGGAAAGACCCATTAATTGAACCAGGGGTGGAGTAACTTCTAATGGGGAAAAACAATAAAAGGTAGTTAAAGATAGTGTTTTCAAAAACCTCTGCTCTGCCAATTCTCATGAAAAATACATAAGTCATAGGACATTTGATTCTGGCCCTTAGGTGATTTGCAATTCAATGTGCCCAATCCTTCTGACCTCACTGACCAGAAAATAGCCAATGAAATTATTATTAATAAAGCAAATGAATGTTGTTCATGTTTTATGTTGTTGTCGTATATTAGGAGTTATTTAGGGATGAATGGGGAGTGTATGGCTGCTGAGTTGACAATGTGGTTTTAATATCACTACTGATTGTCTACTGTCAAATTTGCATCACATCACCTTATAAAGTTTCCTTCTTCATTTGAGTAATCATAATTTAATTTCATAATGGCCAGCTATTTCTATCAAAGTATTTCTTATTTTTTTATTCTTAAATTGTTTAATTTTTCTTCCAAGACTTCCTCAGAATAGATTATCTAATAAAATTATTGGAAGAATCTAGATGCTTCTTTTTTATTCCCAGTTAAGTTTTTGAGTTAAAAGTCCTGTCTTCTAGCTCATGACAATTTTTTTGTGTGTGTTCTCAGGTCACTTCTCTACTTGTTGGGCCAGTTTATCATCTCTTGGTTTTCAAAGGTACTTAAACTACAACTTCCTCTGAAAATCAAATATTCTTTCTCTTTTTCCACGTCAAATACTTGCAGAAAAAACAACATTGTGAATTCTCATTTTAAAAAAATACAGCTGTAGAAATAAGAGATATTATTTAAAACTTCCTCTGGAAGTAACATTGTAAGTAAAACTTGAAAATGAATCACTATCTTTTAAAAGTAAATGTGAATCTAAACTTGATGTATTAATAATGGAGGGAAATCAATAAGCCAATAACAAACAACCTCGTTTAAAAAATGGGCAAAAGACACAAACAGACACATCTCAAAAGAAGACATACACGTGGCCAACAAGCATATGAAAAAATACTCAATATCACTGATCATTAGGGAAATGCAAATCAAAAACAAAATGAGACACCAACTCACACCAGCCAGAATAGCCATTGCCACAAAGTCAAAAAATAACAGATGCTGGTGAGATTGCAGAGAAAAGGGAATGCTTATACACTGCTGATGGGAATGTAAATTAGTTTAGCCACTGTGAAAAGCAGTTTGGAGATTTCTCAAAGAACTTAAAATAGAACTACCATTAGAACCAGCAATACCATTACTGGGTATATACCCCCCAAAATATAAATCATTACACCATAAAGACACATGCACGTACATGTTCATCACAGCACTATTCACAATAGCAAAAACATGGAATCAACCTAGGTGCCCATCAATAGTGGACTGGATTGTTTGGAGCAAGCCCCCCAAAATCTGGCCATAAACTGGCCCCCAAACTGGCTATAAACAAAATCTCTGCAGCACTGTAACATGTCCATAATGGCCAAGCTGGAAGGTTGTGGATTTATGGGAATGTGGGCAAGGAACACCTGGCCCGCCCAGGGCGGAAAACCGCTTAAAGGCATTCTTAAGCCACAGACAACAGCATGAGAGATTTATGACTTAAGGGCATGTTCCTGCTGCAGTTAACTAGCCCAACCTATTTATTTAATTCAGCCCATCCCTTCGTTTCCGTAAGGGATACTTTTAGTTAATTTAACATCTATAGAAACAATGCTAATGACTGGTTTGCTGTTAATAAATACGTGGGTAAATCTCTGTTCAGGGCTCTCAGCTCTGAAGGTTGTGAGGCCCCTGATTTCCCACTTCACACCTCTATATTTCTGTGTGTGTGTGTCTGTGTCTTTAATTCCTCTAGCTCCGCTGGGTTAGGGTCTCCCTGACCAAGCTGGTCTCCGCACTGGATAAAGAAAATGTGGTACATATACATCATGGAATACTACACAGTCATAAAAAAGAATGAAATCATGTCCTTTGCAGCAATGTGGATAAAGCTGAAGGCCATTATCCTAAGCAAATTGACACAGAAATAGAAAACCAAATACCGCCTGTTTTCACTTTCAAGTAGGAGCTCAATATTGAGTACAAATGGGCATAAAGATGGGAATAATAGATACTGGGGTCTGTTTGAGAGGGGAGTCTGGGAGATGGGTAAGGGTCAAAAAACTACCTATTGTAAACTGTGCTTATTCCCTGGGTGATGAAATAGTTTGTACGCTAAATGCCCACAACATGCAATTTACCTATGTAACAAACCCGTACATGTATCCCCTGAACCTAAAATAGAAGTTGAAAGGAAAAACAAAAAATGAAACAATTGGAATCACTTGGGGAAAAAAAGACATAGTTGTGGAGAGCAGGATTTCAGAACAAAGCTGCTTTGAAAAATATGGACTTTGACACCCAGGATATGCAGAGGTTTGAAAAGGTACAGGAAATGAAAGGATTCTTTGGATATGTTTTTAAAAAGGGAAATAATTGATTTAATACAGGAATCATAGGACACAATTGCAAAAAAAAAAAGATATAACTGCAAAAAATGTTAAAATTAAAGTTCCCGATATGTCTGACTTAACAAAAATTTGAACTTGCATTAAAGGAAGCAAAGACCAAGGAGATGACAATCTTTTTGGAAGAAAGCAAAGCCTAGCAGCTGGAGACCTGGAAGTCTTCCATGGACAAGAGACAGACAGCTTGAAATATGGGAGTTAAATCAAAAGATTCAGCTTAATAATGAATATATTCAGGTGGACTTAGCAAAGCTAAGAACTCTAATGACAAATTGAAAAGTTCAGTGCATTTCAGAGTTAACTAGTAAACATGAGTCAAATTTCTTTAAGGCTGAATTAAATAAAAGGAAATTTCTAAGTTTTTCCATGAAGCTAACATCTGTATTTATTACAATATCATAGTAGAGCAACATTAATGTGAATGAAATAATTATGTAAAAATATAACATCTACTACTGACATTTCGGAAACAAATGTCTTGAATAAGCATTTCCACTGGTCCTGAAATCATGAGCATTTTAATTTTTATGGACCTTAATTTTTCTTAAGCCTTTTAATTTTAATTTTTATAGACCTTTATTTTTCTTAAATCAAGCCCATTTTAAGACTTATAAGAGCTTTGAATATAAAAACAACTTGTTTCTGTAGAATAGTTGTTCTCAAACAACTCTACACATTGGAATACTGTGTGGAATTTTAAAAACACTAATGCCTGAAGTCCAGGCCTGGAAATTCAGCTCTAATTTGTATGGAAGTGCAGTCTGGGAAATGGGGGCTTTTTAAAGCTCCCCAGGTAACAACAATGCACAGCCGTGTTTGAGAACCAATGACGTAAAAGGAATAAGAAAGAAAAAAATCAGTTGATGCTTGTTTACAAGAATACAGCAAGCTACTTTAGCACAATCATCTGCTTAATGCACTGTCTCTTCAATTTATTTTCCAGCTGGGACTGAAATTATTGACCACAGAATGTTTATGCAGTTAGTAACACTCATTCCAATTAAATAATTTTCTTTCTGTTGTTTCTTTCCACGGGGTTGCGCAGTAGTAGCTGATATTCTAAACAGGTGTCTCCATTAATGTGAATTTGCAAAACCAAATATCAACAGAGCTTCTTGTTAAATATGCCAATACTGTTTGTGATGGCTTCTAGTTCTGTCATTTGGAACTCACTGTGAGCTGCCAAGAACAATTAGTAACAGGCATCTGCTCCTCAAGTTTACTATATAAGAATTCCAAAGTGATTTTAATCATCTTTTTGGTAACAGTGCTTTTTATCAAACAGAAAATTATCCATGCAAATTATTAACTTTCAACTCATGAATAACAGTGAGGAATTTTATGCAGTCTTAGAAACAAAACATTCCTCACTGATGACCTAAAAAGTACTCACACTTTTTCACAGATGAGAAAATTAGCCCCAAGAGGTTGATGTGATTCACTTGTTACCACATATCCAAATGAGACAAAGCCCTACCTGGAACAAACACCATCTGTTTCTCAGTCCACTATTCTCTCTGTAATACAATAGCTTCTCTTGGAGATTTCAGAATACTACAAGTAAATATATTTTAGTTGCTGGAATCAGACTTTCTATAAACTTAAAGGCTATTTTACAACCTTGATGAAAACATAAATTGATTTCTCAGAGTTCTTATATTTCTTATCGGAGAAACTTGTATCAAAGCTAACTATTAAAAGAAAGTGACCAACATTTAAATTTCTCAAAAGCTTGTATCACGTTTCACCAGAAATAGTTCCATTAATTGAATGCATTTCTTTAAAACTGTTGATTGGTTCTATTAATGTCCATTTCTTAAGTATACCTCTAATTTGGATCAAAAATTCCAACATTTCATCTAATGAGAGACAAGAGAGCCAGTCTAAAGCCCAGTTTCCACTTACGAAATAGAGTTCATGAAACATGGCTTTCATTCATGCAACAGCTTACACAGCCCTACAGTGGGGCTGCTCTTTATTGTATTTTGGAGGACTCTCAAATTCTCACCAGCATTCAGACCAGTGTGGTTAGCCTCTAAGCTCCTATTTTAGTTACTGGTGCCTTCCTTTTGCCCCTATATGACATTATTTGTAGCTTAAGTTAAATTTTCTTGACAAGCATTACCATATTCACAGCTTTATATTAAAGATCAAAATTTCTAGTCCGTGCAGCTGCCTTTGCAAGGTTTTATTTGCCCCTTTCTGTGACTGTGTTTTAATGGAAGAATTGTAGAACAGCAATGGACTTTATCTTCACATGAAACTTCACAATTTCAAACTCAGAGAGTTGTATTATATTTCCCTTATACTCTTCAAAGAAGGAAACTGTGACATCCCCTACTCAGGTGTTGCTATGTGTCATGCTATTTCTAAATACATGACTGTGTTTTTCTAATATTCTTTCATTGTGGTTCATTAAATTTTTCATCTATTGTAAAAAAATTAGTGCACCCATTACAGAAATGATTCTATCCCATGTTAAGAATAAAAGTTTTGTTTTTTGATTTATTTTGTTTTGTTTTCCATGGAAGTCTCTAAATCTCTTTCTTGTTTGCTCTTTTAGTTATTGGTGGCTTCCTTTGATGCATTATGTCATTCTTGCCTCAATTTAATTTTCCTGGCATGCAATACCTGGGTTTGAATTCCAACTCCATCACTTCCTACTTATGTGATCCTTAGAAACTTATTTAAACTCCATAATTTCTGGTTTCCTATGAATATAAATGAAACTAATAATAGTACTAATATCAAAGTATTATTACTAGGGCTAGACATAAGGCATATAGCAGGTGTCCAGTACAAAGTAGTTTTTTGAATGTGAGTTATTTTATTGTTTGCACAATTGGAGATAGTGGTAAGAGTGAACAACAGAGAGCTAAAGAGGAAAAAAGAGGCTGTATGAGTTCGTTCTCATGCTGCTAATATCCAGGACTGGGTAATTTATAAAGGAAAGAGGTCAATTGACTCACAGTTTCACAGGGCTGGGGAGGCCTTGGGAAACTTACAATCATGGTGGAAGGGAAAGCAAACACATCCTTCTTCACATGGTGGCAGCAAGGAGAAGTGCTGAGCAAAGCAGGGGGAAAGCCCCTTATAAAACCATCAGATCGCATGAGAACTCACTCACTATCACGAGAACAGCATGGAGGTAACTGCCCCCATGGTTTAACTACCTCCTGCCAGCTCCCTCCCACAACACATGGAGATTATGGGAACTACAAGGTTAGATTTGGGTAGGGACACAGCCAAACCATATCAGAAGCCAACTCCAATTTTGACCTCTGGGATCAGTAAAACCTATTGGTATAGGGAGAGGGATCCCAAGATTCCTTGTTGGTTGTCCTCCTTCGCTACAATAAAGGAGAAAAATAGATTTAGTCACTGGATCCAAACAGGTCAATGTTTCTCTAGATTGAATGCCCATTAACTCCTTAGTATTATCAGCACAGGCTGTACTGCACAAGTTATACATTCCTATGGTAACAAAAAGCATGAAAAGATTATAAAGGGTAATTGGGTTTCAGTACCTCTCAGTTTTTTAGCAAATTTGTATATTTCACTTATCATCTTTACTGTCTTTACTGAAGAATATTTCTGGCTTTCTAAATAATGTCTTCAGGACATATCCTTCCCTCCTCAGAGTGTTTAATGAATGTACACAGAAGCCTGCTGTGTTCTAAGAGCAAACATGAAAATAATTTTTAAGCTATCTTTTTCTGTCAAAAATTAAAAAATCAATAGCAAACTAATGGCTCTATTTCCTGCATTCATATTATAACCTCAAGTATAATAGGAGATTTCTATATAAATTTATATTCTTAAGGTTATAAAATGCTTTACTAAAACTTCATATTTGGGTAGTAGGAATTCAAGGAAAGACAATACAAAGTAAATCACAACTCCACTGTAGTATACTTTGTTTCTCTCATTTGTGAAACTATATAACATTACAACTTCCACTTTTGAATGTATTGACAGATATCTTCTTCATAATTTAAATTTGAACACAGACGTGTTCTTTAATTAATCTTTCCTTTGCTACAAGATCATTTAGCAGACAAATACAAAAATTTTATGTGTCTATATTTTTCTTAACTTTTTCATAAAAGGTTAAAAGCCTCAGGTAACATGATAAAATAAAATTCAAAGAATTAATAAGCCTAAAACATAAATTATTCATCAAGGAAATGAGATATAATACAGCCATGTTACGTTTTTACCTAAAATAAGAATGAAAAGAACATCTGATAAATAGTGCAGAAAATCAAGCAAGAGAATGGTTAGGTTTCAAGGTGAAAAGTCTGGTCCTCTTTTATAACTTAACTGAGGAAGAAATCACATCAGTTCAGGAAAGAAGTCAGAAGTCGAAGAAAAGTAATAAAATAGGGATTTCGGTATTATTGAATTTAGCACCTGAACTGAAAGAGTGTGAAACCTTAGTCTTTCCTGATGAACACTGGGCATTAAAAAAAATTATTTGCACTACAGGCCAGAAAAGTTAAGAGGTGAGATGCAAAGGTGACAGTTTGACAGGTTTACCCAGGTGTGGGATCATTTGACCAAAAGTCTGAAATCTCTACATTGATGAATTTGTAAGTAATGGAAGTGGGAAGAAATTCACAGTGATTGATGGCTTTACTGTCAGAATTAGACTGAAATGCTTGCCAATATTAAGAGAAGGTCAAATAATGAAAACACAATTTATTCTATAAATTTTCCCAGGTTATGAGAACTTTCAGATACATTATCTTGCCAAAGCTTGTCAATGATTTTAAAGTAGATATGTCAGGAATTATTGTTTTGATTTTACAGAGAAGGCACTGAGCCTCAGAGAAGGAGCTGCCTAAGGTGAGAATCATAATCAAAGCTCTCACTCAAGTTTTCTGACTCAAACTCTTATGCTCTTTTCAATATGCTATGCAAGGAAGAGAAGAGAAGGAGATAAATACATACTTAACATTTATTTTTTTCAGGAACAACACATTTGTCATTCCATTCAATCTTCATGACACCCCAATATTAACCAATGATAAAGAACTATCATTTACTCTAGCCCTATTATATTTTTCAGGACATGCATATCTATTATTCCTAAATGCTCATAATAGCACTGCAAGGTAGTGTTAATATTTCCATTATGCAGATCAAGAAAATGACTCACAGGTTAGAAGACTAGCCCAGGATCCACCAAGCATCTTTTAAAAACACACAGCTCATGTCACCTAGCCCCTTCTGTTTAACTCACTAATGGATCCCCACTGGTCTTAAATAATGATTTGCTATGTGAAGTCTTAATCTTCTTTCTCCAATCTTATATTGCCCCATTATTTCCTTGTTATCACCCTTGTCCCATTCTCTTTGCATGAAACTCTAGCCTCATTCACCCAGTTAACTCTTTTATTTCCTCAGACAAACCTTCCTGACTAAACCAGTCTCTACCATCACATTCATTCAGTTTTCACTCTTGTACAGCCTCTTTTTGATAGCACTTCAACAGCTATAATTTTATATGTATCTGTAAAATTAGTAGAATATTGTTTCTCTCACCCCAAATCATAAACTTAGATGAGGGCCAGGACCCTGTCTTTCTTTTTCTTGCCATTTTATCACCAGCTTCAGTATGGCACTTGCACAAGACTTTTTAAAACAAAGATTATTTATTCTTTTATTTAACAAACATTTGTAGCATACTTCAATGTGCCACACTAAAACTGTAGAATGTGCCAATGGAAAAGAAACAGTATCTTGAATGGATCTGCTCTTTCATAAAGTAACTCTCATTCTTGACTTATTTCTTCCTAATTATATAACCTAGTGTTATATAGGTGAGAAATTTTTCAACATATTGGTGGTGAGCTTTTCTGTATCTCTTTGGATGTCTTTAATTGGCTCAGTTTTTCAAAGACAAGTCCAAATAAGCATTCTTCACAGAAGCTGTTTATTAGTAGTAGTAGTAGTAGTAGTATTCACTTTCTCCCAACTTACAGGAACTGTTCACTTTTACACATTTTTATGATACCTTGGTTTTACCACATAATCTGTCTATTTTATGGTATAGTTCTTGAATGTGAAATTCTTTAGCTAGTAAATTCAGATTCTTCATTACAGAAGCAATGTCTAATTCATCTTTCTGGCGTTTGCAGTTCTAGAATAGTGATTTGCACATAGTCAGGACTCAGGAAATTCATGTTAATAGAGAGCCCATGACTGCAGAGACATCCTGGTCAAAAGGGTTGGTGTTATCAGTAAGGTGCCAGAAACCTAAAAACATAGCTCCCTTTGACTTGCTTCTATTTCCAGACATTTCATATGTTGTGGCGTATGTAATTTCCACTCAAACACCAACTGGATTCCTACAATTCGCTTCAATTCTGACAGTAGCTACCTAAAGTTAATGTCAGTTACCACAGGTTTGAGGGCTTAGTCTCACGAGACTACCCTCACTTCAGAAGTTTCACACTTCTGAGGTATGGGGACCACCCATACTATTGATCAACTGGCTATAAATGCAGGGTTCTCATGATCCTCTTTCAGTTTTATATAATTCACTGCAATGACTGACAAAACTCAGGAGTGCCCTATTTATTATTACAGTTTTACTATAAAAGATACAACTCAGGAATAGTCAAATGGAAGAGACGCATAGGGCAAGGCTAGGGGCGTAGGACCTGTGCAGAACTTCCATATCCTTTCCAGGCTCCCAACACATCTGTGGGCTCACCAACCCAGAGGTTCCTTGAGCCTCATTGTTTCAGGGTTTTTATACGGGCTTTTCTTTTGTATATGTGATTGAATAAAATATTGGTCACATGATTAAATTTAATCTCCAGTCCCTCTTCTCTTAGCAGGTTAGGGAGTGGGATTGAAAGTTCCACCTCTTTAATCAGATGGCTTGTGATGAATAACAAAAGACAGTTATATCTGAGGAATTTCCAAGGGTTTTAAGAACTCTATGCCAGGAACCCAGGAAGAAGCCCGAACGTATTTTTTATTATATCACATGATAGAATTGGGAAGGAAAGGTGGTTGGAAGACATAACCCCACCGCTAACCTTGTTGCCAATGAAAGTCAACCAATCTGTGCCTCATATTGAGGAATTTTGATAAAAATAAAACAGCTTTCCTCCAAATTTGCTAAAAACCCAAGAATATGAGTTGAATTAAAAAATTATCTTTAAACCATTTTTTAATAAACTAAAAAATGCCTTGAAAACAACATAAAAATTAAGATTTTGATTTCAGATCAAAAGAATATGTCAACAACTTCTAAACAATTCCTGCAATGAATCTGCTATATATATTTTGGAACATTTAATGAAGTAACATTCATAAATGGGCTTAAATACTGGAGACATTCATTCTCATTCTCTCTCTCTCTCTCTCTCCTCTCTCATGCTCATGCACTAGATTGCTTGCTTTCATTTTTCCTCCTTCCTCAAACAGAACAACCATCACTCTCGAACTGCAGACACATGAAGATCAACTGCTCCACATTTCCATGTAGCAGGAATGTTTTAAAATTTAAACATTTTTAAATCAGCTTGGCTGATTTTAGGGATCCCGTTCTGCCATTCTCTCCCAAGTAAGAATCAGAAAAAAATCTATCATAGCAGCAATAAAAGGATGAGAGAGAGAGAAATGGGGATCTTCAAAATGTATGCATGCTCATGTTTGTGGGGGGAGGAGACACATATTATTAGATGGTGGAATAGATAAGATCCAACCGCATCAAACAGCAGGGAGGCAAATGCATAGGACCTCTTTATGGTGAAATTAAAGAGAAGCTGCACAGACTTTCACACCATGCAAAGCATATATATCAAAACTATCATGCTGCATTTAGACTATTTTATAAACTAAAAATTATATTTGGATTCACTGAGATATTTTACTTGCCTGACAGAAAAAAAAATTACAAATCACACTATGAAAGCTTAAAGATTACATTCACCAACATGAACGTTTTAAGTCTTACATAGCTGTTTCTCCTTCCTTCTTGACAAAATATGGTATTGGGTGATTGCACTGCTTAGTTACCATCCCATTAGATGCAGTCAATCTTAGCTTTTCATTTTCTAAGATTCTAATGAAAGCCATGAACCACTTCTCCAGAAAATATAACTCACATTAATATAATTTGGGATAATTCATAGATGCTCTAAAGCCTAGAAAAATCCTTAGACAGAAGAGAGGAGTATGCAAACAGTTTCCCAGAACTTCTGCCACTCAGATCAGATCATTTTCTGAAAATATGGTGGATAACAGAGCTGTTCTCCTTCTTGCACTGGAGAAACTTGTGCAAAATATATAGGTTGCCCTTAAGGCCATACAGAAATATCCAATATTTTTAACAGAACAGTCTGATTTACCACATCTAAAATTATAACACAGGGTTCTGTTTCCATTTCAAATCCTTAAAGCTTTTGATTTGTTTAGTACTGACAGAAAAAGAAATACAAAGGGATGCATACATCAAGTCAACACCTTCATCCCTAGAGTTTCATCAGGCTGTTTACATCTCAAAAGAGATCTTCTAGTAGCGACTGAAGCAGCATGGCCAAGCCTTGTGGGGTGCGCCTGAGCGGAGAAGCCCTTAAACAGGTGGAGGTCTTCAGGCAGAATCTTTTCCAGGAGGCTGAAGAATTCCTCTGCAGATTCTTGCCACAGAAAATCATATATCTGAATCAGCTCTTGCAAGAGGACTCCCTCAATGTGGCTGACCTGACTTCCCTCCGGTCCCCACTGGACGTCCCCATCCCAGACCCTCCACCCAAGGATGATGAGATGGAAACAGATAAGCAGGAGAAGAAAGACGTCCCTAAGTGTGGATTTCTCCCTGGGAATGAGAAAGTCCTGTCCCTCTTTGCCCTGGTTAAGCCAGAAGTCTGGACTCTCAAACAGAAATGCATTCTGGTGATTACGTGGATCCAACACCTGATCCCTAAGATTGACGATGGAAATGAGTTTGGGGTAGCAATCCAGGAGAAGGTGCTGGAGAGGGTGAATGCCGTCAAGATCAAAGTGGAAGCTTTCCAGACAACCATTTCCAAGTACTTCTCAGAACGTGGGGATCCTGTGGCCAAGGCCTCCGAGGAGACTCATGTAATGGATTACCGGGCCTTGGTGCTTGAGCCAGATGAGGCAGCCTATGGGGAGCTCAGGGCCATGGTGCTGGACCTGAGGGCCTTCTATGCTGAGCTTTATCATATCATCAGCAGCAACTTGGAGAAAATTGTCAACCCAAAGGGTGAAGAGAAGCCATCTATGTACTGAACCCAGGACTAGAAGGAAAATAAATGATCTACATGTTGTGTGGAAAAAAAAATTAAACTTAAAAATTTTTAAATTATTTACACATATGGGATCCCTTAGTTTTCTTTTGAGTTTATTTCAAAAGAAAACTAGGGGATCCCATATGTGTAAATAATTTTTAAATGTGTAGTAAGACTCATCCCCTCCATTTAACCAGTAAGAAATATAAACATAGTCATTTTTAATGATCCTCTTATATTTATGTGTTTAGCAAGTGGTGAATTCACCATTACAGACAGATTCATACACGCCCTTTTGAGTCAATAAGATAAGACCTAGTAATACTTATTTTTACCAAGCATCCCAAATGACGGATTAGTCATAAACTGTGATATTTCTTAGAACTTTTAAAATCCTCGGTTCACATATATTAAACCTACCTGAGGAGGTCTCTGAAAAAATGCAAATGGTAAACAGCTTCACCCAAGACCCACTGAATCAGACTCTGTAAGGGGTGGGGTCTGGGAATGAACATTTTCAGGAAGCTCCCAATATTATTCCAATTCACACCAAAGTTTGAAACCTACTTCACTGGAAGTTCCTTCCAGCCCTGTGATTTTTATGATCCTGGTTTATGACTAATCAGCCTAAATTTTACTTGGTAGACCACACATCTCCCTGCCAAACTTTCTCAGCCAAATATAGCAAGAGTTGACAGATGCCAAGTGGCAGTGGTCTTTGTCAGTGCCCATCCTAAAAGCAGCTGGGCCCACGTGGCCTCATCCCCAGCTGTCTTGAGCTGGGCAGCAGGTGCCGGGATGGCCAGCTGTTCTCCCAGGCAAGTCTGGCAACTCTGCTTGTCCAGATCTCGAATTTTCCCTTGGGTGGCCTTGCTTTTGTGGGTGGTCCAGCCGAACCTTAATCCTAGTGAGTGAGCATTCCAAAGCTGAAATACCCAAACCAGAGCCAGCAGAGAGCGCATATGTGTTTTATGTTTATAAATACATATTCATGCATTGGATTGGATGATCCCTCAAAGTCCTATCTAGCCTTAAATTCTATAAATTACGTGTGTTCATGTATAAATATTATGCAAAGTGTTGTCATACATATTCTTGGTTGCAGATGAAAATTTGTATAGCCCTGCCATTTCTACTGTCTCTCAACCCTCCTCTGTTTTTCAAAATAAGAACACCAAGAAAGCAAAACCTAAATACCGCCAGACTGAAATAACTACACCTAACAAATCTCATAGGAAAGAAAATGATGTGACAATACACTGCCTATGTGCAAAGGACATAAACATTTATAAAGGAGAGGGAGGGAGGGATGAACAGGCAGAGAACAGAGGGTTCTTAGGACAGTGAAAATATATATATATACGCTATGTATATTACTATATATATGTATACTATGTATAATATATAGTATAATACATAATGTATATATATATACACACTATGTATAAAGAGTATATACTACATGTATACATATGTAGTATAATGGTGGGTACATGTCTTTATACATTTGTCCAAACCTACAGATTGTACAACACCAAGAATGAGCCCTAACCTAATGGACTTTTAACGATAATGATGTGTCAATGTAGGTTCATCAATAGTAACGTATGTGCCACTCTAGTGTGGGACTTGATAATGTGGGAGGCTGACCATGTGTGGAATAATTCTGTACCTCCCTCTCAATTTTGCCATAAACCTAAAATTGCCCTAAAAAAGTCAAGTTTTTAAAAAATGTTACATATATGTACAGGAATAAAGACAATACATACTTTTGCAAAACTGTAGGGGAATGGTGTGGTTCTGTTCTCATTTTGCTTTTGTTTTAAAATACAAGTAGCAAAATATTGTATATTATAACAATATAATACCAATATTCAATTTGTAAAATTGATACAGAATTAGATTTAAATTTAAAAGTGATGTTTTTAGTATCTTGAGTTTAGGTATTCTTTACATTTGCATTACTTTCACTTTCGTTTCCTATAGTAATAGTAAAGAAGAAGATATCCACAATTTGATGTTATCAGATAAACTTTTGCTTAGCAGATTTCTCACCATTCCAAAATGAACTGATAATTGTCTTGGGACTTTACGGAATGAAATCACCTGTGAAGGTTTTTAAGAAAAATACAATCCTTTAATACTCTGAGTCAATACGATTTTAATCTGCTTCACCCACACCCTGAAATCATGAAAGAATAAAGCTGAAAAGCCCTAAAGCATTTGGTTATTTTTTCTTTTAAACTTCTTATGCTAGATGTTATTGAAAGATAATATCGCAGATCTTTCAAGAAACAATAATTTTGTAATCAACTATCTCTGGGACTACATGATAGATTACAAAAATACACAACAATTCTTTTGGAGAAGACTACCAGATGTATATACCAGCCTTATACCCACAGAAATATTTGGACAAAAGAACTAAAGTTGCAAGAGAATAAGCAATGCTTTTATCTGAAAAAGGTGAAATTGTATTTTACATATTTATCATCAAAAGCAAAGAAAGTTTCATATATACATCATATAGGCATATAAATTATACAATTACTTTAGTTGCTAATAAAATGCCATTATTTTAACCAACTTAATAGCTTATTTCAAATGTCTATAAAACCATTTGCAAAGTTGAAATAGACATATGCAAATGCCTATATATATGTTATAAAATGAAGAGGAAATCTGATGGTTGACTAATTTGATCAATAAGACATGAAAAGTGGTATAAACAAATTGATGCGTAATCTTGAATTGTTTGGGGTGTCCACACTGATATGCTCAAGCAGCAAGCCCACAAATTTCACTTCATTCTGTGGGAATTGGGACAGAACTCCTGCGGGGCAAATATGCTAAAATTGTCTCTTACTCCAGGGCCTCCTGTTGGACATTCTAGGTCTCACTTTTACTCTCTGCAAGATAAATTTAAGACCCTAAGGCTCTCATTGCTTCCATGCTTTCCTTTCTATTCTGCAAATAGATTCTTGTTCTGATGAAGTCATCTGTAATACAGTTAGCAAATGTGTAAACATGAGTGAACATTTAGAATATTATCTTTATTAATATACATTTAATTAACTTTTTTTCTTCTAAAATCTTAAGAAGCATCAAAATCTCCTGTTGAAAAAGAGAAATGATATTAAAATTTAACAGGTGAGGAAATGGGAACTCCAGGGGAATTTCCCCGTGGATGGCCCCACATGTACAGTTAACAGTCCATCTCTACATATGGCAAGACTCTGCACACCCACACATAGCTTTTGTGATGTATTCTCTAAAATCCCAGCAGCCTAAGAACAGCTAGGAACTTAGATTTCTTTTTTAAGAGATAATGTAACAGAGAAGCTAAAGCACAGGCTCTGAGCCAACAGCCCAAGATCATGTCCTACTTTTACTATTTTCTAGTCACAGCTTTAGCAGTTTAAGGCATTTGTGGCACTGTACCTCAATTTTCTCATTTATTATAATGAGAATAATGAAATGATCACAACAGGGGCTTACTGGGCTGCAATGAAAGCTAAATGTGTCAATATTTGTAAAGTATTTAGAATACTGCCTGGTACATGGTAAGTGCTATGTAGACAAACTATTACTCTTATTTACAAAAAAGATTCTGCTTAAAAACAGACTACAATATAAAAATAAATGCACATCTGTTAAAGATGACATAAACAAGCTTAGAACACGGGAAATACACTTAGAAAAAATATTTGCAACATAGACAACAGGTAAAGAGCTTCTACAAATCAGTAAGAAATAAACAATAAAATAAAACTGACCTAAATGAACAAGCAGATCCAAAAAGTAGAAAAAAATGAAAAATTTTAATATGCATATGAAAGATGCTGAACTTCACTAATAAATCCTAATAATATCTCTGCAAATTAAAACAAAAGCGAAATTCAATTTTTCTATGATATTGGCAAAAATGAAAAGAATTGATGATATACAGAATTAGCAAAAGATCAAATGCTCTCAAACACTGTGTATGAATGAAATCACCAGGAAAGTATTAGAAGAAAATTGAAAGTACTTATCAAAATATAAAATATCCTTGCCTAGTAAGCAAGCAATCCCAAATCTAGGAATTCTTACAAAAATGCTTAAAATTATTTTAAATTTGTAAAACTGTATGCACACATGAGTTTATTGAAACATGCTCTTAATAGGAAACATTTGGAAATAAACTAAATGTTTATCAATATGAAGTTAATACACTATACTCCAATTATATTATAAAATATAAAGTAGCTGTTTTACATATCACCCATCACATACCTTAAATGCATAAAAGAAAATGTCCCAATGTGTATCAAACCGATAACTCTGGTTACCTGTAGAAAATGGAACATTTTTAAAGACTTTGAAATTTTACATTATGTATTCTATTTTGAATTTTAAACCAGACATATTTTAATTTTAAAAGGGAGCATGTTTCAAAGCAAAAATAAAAATTTTATATTACTAGCCATTCAATAGCAAGGTACAAAAGAGTAGATGCAGTATCATTCCAAAGGGAGAAAAAGATTAGTAAAGTACACAGCAAATATTGGTATTTATTATGCCTAGATAGTAGGATTGCAGATGAAGCAAGAGTAGTTCCTCTCCTTTTAAACTTTTATACATTTTCCTAGTTGACTGAAATAAAATTGTATTATTTTCACATTTGGTGGTGGGGGAAGCTAATGTTCTTTAAAAAAATTTAACACACCAAAATCCATGATTAAAGACTTTAGTGGAATAGAGGGCATGGGGCTCCGAGATAAGGAAGTCTATGGTGAAAACGAATTTTTTCTTATGGTTTTCTCCTGCATTCCTGCTAATACATATCCTTGCTCTCACTTGTTTAATAAACCAAAAGCACAGAAGATTATAGGAAGCAACATAGCATCCTATATGATTTATTGAGCTTGAACATTTCTGACAAAATATTGAAATGAGTCTATCAATCATCAGACAGGAGCTAGGAGTTAGAAAATGCATTATGGTAGAATCTCCACAAACCTAATAAAATAAATCTGTTGAAAATCAGTCTTTAAAGTTCATACTAAATTTGAACTATAATGTTTCATCCAGTGTATTTGTGTCTTTTTAAATAATTATAGAACTTTTGTTCACTTAAATATATTAGTGTCTAAAATTATGTAACTTCTTTTACCTTTCAAATTTCTTTATACATTTTCTTTTTCTATTGTACTTGGCCAAGCACCTCTGAAATTATGTCAGAATTGTAGCTTTTGGAGGTAAAGTCTCAAATGACCAAATGGATGAAATCAAATTTAATTCAATGTGATTTTAAAGAAGCCAAGATACTACATTTTGAAAATTGGTGTTTATTCTAAAAATACTAACTAAATATTTTGAGAGAATTACTAAGGAAGCAACCTATTTTTCCTTGTGCAGCTTTGTTACATTTGGCAGTAATTTTAAAAATTGTATCGTGTAACTATATTTAGTTTAATGAATACATACACAAGAATTGTACCATAGTGCCATTGATGGTAATGGTACTGCTTATTAAAATTAACAGTACGTAAAAGGGTTACCTTCAATTATTCATATAGCATGACATTTAAAATTCAGAGAGAAAGAGAGGCCTTATTTCAAACAATAGTTTTAAGCTTATAAAATGTGTTTTAAGCTCATTAAAATGTGTTTTAAGCTTAAAACACGCAGTGAAATTTACTGATTAAAGTTTTATACCATTTTCCTGGCACCCCGATAAGAGGAAAAAAAGGACAGAATGAGAAAGAATAATCCATAGATTTAAAAAAAGAGAGTTGTCAGTGCAATAGTCATAATCTCAAGGATTCCCTATATTGTCAACAATAAAGAAAAGTCTCTGTGAAAATGACATACAAAGTGGGACTCGAGACTGTATTTTCTCTATATGTTCTTGACATAAAAGGTATTAATTATTGTGAGAATTCAGAGCCAAGAAGGAAAAATAACTGTTCTTCCTGGAAGACAGGGTATGCCATAACTTAGAGTCTAAAGCAATAATTATCTAGCTTTTCTGAATCCAAGGTATCTTGGAAAAGGCAAACTTCTTTCTTTGTGAAAGAGATTGTCCCTCTTCTTTCTCATGTCAGTCTATGGCTTTGAAAATAAAATTAATAAAATATAAAAATAAAATTAAATTAAAGGTAGTGGAGTCACCTCTTCTTTTTGAGAACAGGGAGGCAAAATATGAGTGAGAGAGAGAAGATGCCAAACCTAAAATGTGGATGATATTTTAAAACTCTACAAATTTTAATATGAAGTTATGCATACTAACCTACTCTACCATAGTTTTTTTCAAATTTTGGTATAAATAAAAATCACCTGGTTACCTTGTTAAACTAGAGTATCATTCTGATGTTAGGTGATGCCAATGTTACTGGCCCAGGGACCCCCAGTTTGAAAAGCAATGCCTCTAATATACTTGTCAATTATAAAGAAAGAGAAAGCGTACCTCCTGGTCTTTCATTAAGTTGATTCATCTTATTACTATTCTTTAATGTCTTCTTACAATGATTCTAATATGATGGCTCTTGCTCTAGTATCAATATTTTCCACCTATCATGTTAATACTTAGTCTAGGAAGGCCGGGCGCAGTGGCTCACGCTTGTAATCACAGCACTTTGGGAGGCTGAGGCAGGTGGATTACCTGAGGTCAGGAGTTCCACACCAGCCTGGCCAACATGTTGAAACCCCGTCTCTACAAAAAATACAAAATTAGCCAGGTGTGGTTGCGTGCACCTCTAATCCCAGCACTCTGGGAGGCTAAGGCAGGATAAGCGCTTGAACTGGGGAGACGGAGGTTGCAGTGAACTGAGATCGGGCCAATGCACCCCAGCCTAGGTGACACAGTGAGACTCCACCTCAAAAAAACAAAACAAACAAACAAAAAAAAAACCTCGGTCTAGGAGTCCATCCATGATGATTCAACTTCTTATAGTGTTTTGGTATAAAGTATTGTCAACAGTCTTGAAAAATGGCAAATAGTTGTTCAGACAGAAACATACTTGGGCATTAATTGCATAAATAAGTAATTTGAGCCTGGTGTGTTGTCACCCAGATCGGATCGTTTCTGAAAATATGATGGATAACAGAGCTGTTTTCCTTCTTGCACTGGAGAAACTTGTGCAAAATATATAGGTTACCCTTAAGGACATACAGAAATATCCAATATTTTTAATAGAACAGTCTAATTTGCCACATCTAAAATTATAACATGGGGCTCTGTTTCCATTTCAAATCCTTAAAGCTTTTAATTTATTTAGTACTGAGAGAAAAAGAAATACAAAGAGATGCATACAGCAAGTCAACACCTTCATCCCTAGAGTTTCATCAGGCTGTTTACATCTCAAAAGAGATCTTCTAGTTTTAAAAATTGATTTAGCAATCCCACTACTGGGTATCTACCCAGAGGCAAAGAATTCACTATATAGAAAAGACACTTGCACATGCATGTGTATAGCAGCACAATTTGCAACTGCAAACATATAAAACCAGCCCACATGCTCATCACTCAACAAGTGGATAAAGAAAAATGTAGTGTATACACATATACCATGGAATACTAGTGAGACATTAAAAGGAGTAAAATAATGGCATTTGCAGCAACCAGGTTGGAGTTGGAGACAATTATTCTAAGTCAAGTAACTCAGGAATGGAAAACCAAATGTTGTATGTTCTCACTTATAAGTAGAAGCTAAGCTATGAGGACACCAAGGCATAAAATGATATAATAGACTTACAGGACTCGGAGGAAGAATGGGAGGAGGTATGGGATTAAAGACTATATATTTGGTACAGTGTACATGGTTTGAGTGACAGGTGCACCAAAATCTCAGAATTTATCACTAAAGAAAATATCTATGTAAACAAATCCCTCCTGTTTCCCAAAAACTATTGAAATGAAATAAATTTTAAAATGGATAAAAAATTCCTTTAGGGCAGGACGTTTGGCTCACTCCTTTAGCCCTGTTGAAGTACAATATGCAATTTGTCCCTAATGAATAGTTTTAGTTATCATTTCTCTACTGTATCCAGTGTAATAGAAGGCAGACGATACATCCATTAACTTGTCTATGAACATGTTGTTTTATAAATTGTTCTTATGCCCGGAGTATGTGCACAGGAATTCATATCAATGTAGACAGGATTTTATGAACCTGTAGAGGGAGTCGGAATCTGTTCCAGTGCTATGAGAAAACCACTTTTGCTTCCAATTTAATGGTCTGAACCACAATTCCCTTACTTAATATACTCTCATAATATATTTACTTATAACTCAAATAAACAAACATACCACCCTATGACATCATAATGCCATGGTATGAAAAGATATAGGGTGTCATGGATTTGAAAGAAAAAGATTATTTTTCCTTTCTCAGTATCAAGGGAATAAATGGAACCATGCTTCAATATTTAGAGATGTCCAAAGATTTTCTTTCATGGCTGTTGAGCTGTCTCACACAAAATTTAAGACTTTCAATAGTTAAACGTATATGTCAAGATGAACAACCTGCTCCTCAATGACTACTGGGTAAATAACGAAATGAAGGCAGAAATAAAGATGTTCTTTGAAACCGATGAGAACAAAGACACAACATACCAGAATCTCTGGGACACATTCAAAGCAGTGTCTAGAGGGAAATTTATAGCACTAAATGCCCACAAGAGAAAGCAGGAAAGATCTACAATAGACACCCTAGCATCACAATTAAAAGAACTAGAGAAGCAAAAGCAAACAAATTAAAAAGCTAGCAGAAGGCAAGAAATAACTAAGATCAGAGCAGAACTGAAGGAGATAGAGAAAAGAAAAATCCTTCAAAAAAATCAATGAATACAGGAGCGGGTTTTTTGAAAAGATCAACAAAATTGATAGACCGCTAGCAAGACTAATAAAGAAGAAAAGAGAGAAGAACCAAATAGACAGAATAAAAAATGATAAAGGGGATATCACCACTGATCCCACAGAAATACAAGCTACCATCAGAGAATACTATAAACACCTCTATGCAAATAAACTAGAAAATCCAGAAGAAATGGATAAGTTCCTGGACACATACATCCTCCCAAGACTAAATCAAGAAGTCGAATCCTGAATAGACCAATAACAAGTTCTGAGATTGAGGCAGTAATTAATAGCCTACCAGCCAAAAAAAGGCCAGGGCCAGACAGATTCACAGCCAGATTCTACCAGAGGTACAAAGAGGAGCTGCTACCATTCCTTCCGAAACTATTCCAAAGAATAGAAAAAGTGGGAATCCTCCCTATCTCATTTTATGAGGTCAGCATCATCGTGATGCCAAAACCTGGCAGAGTCACAAGAAAAAAAGAAAATTTCAGGCCAATATTTCTGATGAACATCGATGCGAAAATCCTCAATAAAATACTGGCAAACCGAATCCAGCAGCACATCAAAAAGCTTATCCACCATGATCAAGTCAGCTTCATCCCTAGGATGCAAGACTGGTTCAACATACGCAAATCAATAAACGTAATCCATCACATAAACGGAACCAATGACAAAAACCACATGATTATCTCAATAGATGCAGAAAAGGACTTCGACAATATTCAACACCCTTCATGCTAAAAACTCTCAATAAACTAGGTATTGATGGAATGTATCTCAAAATAATAAGAGCTATTTATGACAAACCCACAGCCAATATTATACTGAATGGGCAAAAACTGGAAGCATTCCCTTTGAATACCAGCCCAAGACAAGGATGCCCTCTCTCACCACTCCTACTCAACATAGTATTGGAAGTTCTGGCCAGGGCAATCAGGCAAGAGAAAGAAATAAGGGGTATTCGGTTAGGGAAAGAGGAAGTCAAATTGTCTCTGTTTGCAGATGACATGATTATGTATTTAGAAAACCCCATCGTCTCAGCCCAAAATCTCCTTAAGCTGACAAGCAGCTTCAGCAAAGTCTCAGGATACAAAATCAATGTGCAAAAATCACAAGCATTCCTACACCAGTAACAGACAAACAGAGAGCGAAATCATGGGTGAACTCCCATTCACAATTGCTACAAAGAGAATAAAATACCTAGGAATACAACTTAAAAGGGCTGTGAAGGACCTCTTCAAGGAGAACTTCAAACCACTGCTCAACAAAATAAGTGAGGACACAAACAAATGGAAAAACATTCCATGCTCATGGATAGGAAGAATCAATATTGTGAAAATGGCCATACTGCCCAAAGTAATTTATAGATTCAATGCTATCCCCATCAAGCTACCGTTGACGTTCTTCACAGAATTGGAAAAAAACACTTTAAAGTTTATATGGGACCAAAAAAGAGCCCATATAGCCAAGACTATCCTAATCAAAGAGAACAAACCTGGAGGCGTCACGGTACCTGACTTCAAACTATACTACAAGGCTATAGTAACCAAAACAGCATGGTACTGGTATCAAAACAGATATATAGACCAATAGAACAGAACAGAGGCCTCAGAAATAACACCACACATCTTTGACAAACCTGAGAAAAACAAGCAATGGGGAAAGGATTCCCTATTTAATAAATGGTGTTGGGAAAACTGGCTAGCCATATGCAGAAAGCTGAAACTGGATCCCTTCCTTACGTCGTATACAAAAATTAACTTAAGATGGCCTAAAGACTTAAACTTAAGACCTAAAACCATAAAAACCCTGGAAGAAATCCTGGGTAATACCATTCAGGAAATAGGCATGGGCAAAGACTTCATGACTAAAGCACCAAGGGCAATGGCAACAAAAGCCAAAATTGACAAATGGGATCTATTTAAAGTAAAGTGCTTCTGCACAGCAAGAAAACTATCATCAGAGTGAACAGGCAACCTACAGAATGGGAGAAAATTTTCGCAATCTATCCACCTGACAAAGGGCTAATATCCAGAATCTACAAAGAATTTAAACAAATTTACAAGAAAAAAACAAACAACTCCATCAAAAATTGGGCAAAGTATATGAACAGACATTTCTCAAAAGATTATGGGCTCTAAAGTAGTACTTTTCATGGCTGTAGTAATTATTCTATATTTCTATTTTATACTTCTCTTATTCCAAAGCCTTCAAGGAATGGTTTGCAAATTGTTACAACACAATTTTACTTGTTCTGTGTTTTGGGTGAACAATGTCCTTTATGTTTGCTATTATGTAGGTGTATGCAGCAGTTATAGGAGAACAGTCGTGCTGAGCAGAGCACTGCTCACTGACAGCTTAGCAGGACAGAAGGTTAATAAAGCAGAAACTGAGGGGTTTGTTCAAGAGCACAATCTTTAAGTTTGGCCACAACAAGAAGTTCAGTTATCATTGAAGAAGCTCACTGAGGGAAGTAAATTGTTACCTACTAGGCTGTGGGGGTTCATGTCATAATAAACTAATTTAAGAAAGTATAATAGCATTATGAATTCTAAAAAGTCAATAAAAAAAGGCCATAAGAACAAAAATTAAGTAAAGAATCAGGCAATGTGGAAACAACATTCATATAAATGGTGTCCAAGAAGAATGAAAATACAACAACAAAAACAACAACAACAAAAACCCCACTAATATTCAAAACTGGAATCCAAAGACTTTTCAGAAATTAAGAAAAAAGAAAATGAACCTTGATACTGGACGAACCCATGAGACAGCTGAGAAAACCAACCCAAAATAATCAATCCTGAGACATATATTGGTACCACTATTACGTTGAAAAGATAAAGAAAAATCACCAAAACCTCCAGACATAAAGACTCCAGACACAAAGACATCAAATAACTTACAAAGGCAAAAGGATAAGATTTAGACTTATATTTTTCTAAATTAACATCCAAAGAAAAGTAAGAATGGAGAAAAATATTAAAAATATTCAGTGCGTGAGAATTAAGAAAGGATTTCATATCCAACCAAGCTGACTGCAAGTACAAAATATATAGAAAATAGTTATGTGATTTTATTTACATAAAAGTTTAGAAATACAAACTAATTTCTAGTGCCAAAGCAGATGATGTGTAGCCTGAGGATGAGGGGAGAGTAGGGAAAGAGGGATTACAAAAGTCCTAAGGAAACTTTTGGGGGTATAAATATGTTCATTATCTATATTATGTTAATGCTTTCACAGTTGTGTGCATAGGTCAAAACTTATCAAATTGCACACTTTATGTCTCATATATTTTTGTAATTTATATGTCAATAAAGCTATTAAAATAAGAAAAAAAGTAGGAAATGTAGAAAGAAAGGAACAAAGAAGCAAAGGAAGAAAGCAAGGAAGTTAAGAAGAGTGAGGTAGGGTAGGAAAGAAAGAAGAAGGAAGGAAGTAAGGAGAGAGAGAGAAAGGAAAGAAAGAGAAAGAAAGAAGAAAGAAAGAAAGAAAGAAAGAAAGAAAGAAAGAAAGAAAGAAAGAAAGAAAGAAAAGAAAGAAAAGAAAGAGGGAAAGAAAGAAAGAAAAGAAAGAAAGTTGTAACCATTTAACAGCATAGGAAACTCTGTACCCATGATCCCCTCTTGAGAAATCTTATAAGAAGCACTGGTCAAATTAAAGCCCACGTTCATATTTGGCCTGTTTTTGTACAGCCAGAAAATTAGGCATGATTTATACATTTTAAAAAGTTTTTCAGAGACAAGTAATAAAGATAACTGGCTAGAAGTGCTTATCCCTCGCTTCCACCACGAAGAAGTACTAAAATAGCAAGTTAATAATCACATGTTGAATAGAGTATCTAAGGGAGAACACTGGAATTTATCAGAGACATGACAAGCACACTCTGAGGCACAGACATGTGAGATCACAGCATACAGAGGGAAATGAAGTAAAGCAGCCAGCCAGAATTCACTTGGAGCCAAGAACGACTCCCCTTTGTAGAAAAAAAGAAAATGGGAGATCACCACCACATAACCACTATAGGTGTCTGCAATCCTTAGCTACAAGAGAGCCCCTAAGACTTCACAAGTCCTGAGCCCAGTTTAAAGAGGTGCTTGGAGTTTATGTGGGTGCACTGTGTCAGAGGGGGAATTTATACTGGGTCCCAACTCACAGCGGGACTCAAGATGCTATAGCATGGTGCCATTTTGCGAATGAAACCACTATGAGACTGAATCCTGTTCTGAGACCCCAAAGCCCTCACATCTCCACATCCCTGGGTTTCCACTGACATCACCCTAAATCCACTCAGAGGGCTACAGCATCACAACACCAGCTGGACCCAGTGTTGCAGCCATGTCCCCAACACCTGAGCCCACTCAATACCCTACACCCCAGGGAACAGGCAGTCTAGCACATTACAGAGAGGGCCTCCAGGATATAGGGAGCTAATGTGCATGTTTTCTAAGTCCTGAGAGCCACCAGCCCAGGGCCACCACCACCAACAGTGATGCCCAGGGCCACAATTACCAACAGTAATCCTGACCACTGGAGGGGCCACTGCACAGCCAAGTATTCAATCTGCAGGCCCAAGGACTAGCCCTGCCAGGAACACCATGGTAACTGACACCACTGGTGTCTGTGCATACTGCACAGGGGCCTGTGGAACAGCCTGTCTGAGGTCACAGTCTTTACCTCTAGAGCCCATGCACACCAGCCAGAATCCCAAGGAGTGGTCAGGCCATGCCACCACCAGCACTACCACAGCTGGCACCTGCATGTGTTGCTCAGGAGCCCAGGGAGTGGCCTATTCAAGGCCCAGTACTGCCACTACTGGTGCATGCATGATCCCCAGGTACCTGAGGTTCAGCCCAACCAGCATCCCTAGCTACAGCAAACCCTCACCACAGGCTTCACAAAAAACATCTGTCTAAGCTGCTGAGGAATTCACAGACACTGGTGACAGTGACTGGAGTCAAAAAAAAATATACAAAGACTACACACTGCAAATACCCAGAACTGAAGCCAAAGCATCCTACCCAACTTTCTCTATAAAAGTTAGTCTATATAATTGGAAGAAACAAATGTTACACCAAATGAGTAATGCAGAAACACAAGAAACAAGAAGAAGCAAGTAAATGTGACCACTTCAAAGGAACACCAGTAACAGACACCAAAGGAAAAAAAATGAATTAACTAAAAAGAAATTCAAAATGAAGATCTTAAAGGAACCCAGCAAGGTATAAGAGAATACATATTGATAATACAAAGAAATTGGAAAAACAAGAGTTTCAGAAGATGGAAAAAGCCAGAGAAAACATATTTAATACAATAATACCTGATGTATTCTGAAGTCTTGGGAGAGAAATAGACATCCAGATACAGGAAGCTCAACAATCTCCAAGAATATTCAACTCTAAAAGGTCTTCTCCGAGGCATGTTATACTCAAACTGTCAGAAGTGAAAGATAGAGAATTCTAAAAGCTGTAAACGAGAAGAAAAGTCATATACGAAGAAATCTCCAACAGATTAACAGTAGATTTCTCAGCAGAAACCTTACTGACCAAGAGAGAATGGATATGTTGAAAGTGCTAAAAGGAAAAAAAAGCCTACCACTGATAATACTATACCCAGCAAAGTTATATCTCAGAAATGAAGGAAAAATAGTACATCCTAGACAAGCAAATACTGAAACAAAATTATTATGTAATAATTAATGGATCAATTAAGCAAGAGGCTATAGTGATTACAAAGATATGCACACAACACCAGAGCATGGTACTGGTACAAAACAGACACATAGACTGATGGAACAGAATAGAGAACTTAGAAATAAGACCATACATCTACAACCATCTGATCTTTGACAAACCTAATGAAATCAAGCAATGGGAAAAGGATTCCCTATTTAATAAATGGTGCTGGAAGAACTGGCTAGCCATATACGGAAAATTGAAACTGGAACCCTTCCTTACACCTTATACAAAATTTAGCTCAAGATGGATTAAAGACTTAAATGTAAAACCCAAAGCTGTAAAATCCCTAGAAGAAAATCTATGCCATACCATTGAAGACATAGGCATGGGCAAAGATTTCATGATGACATCACCAAAAGCAACTGCAACAAAAGCAAAAACTGACAAATAGGATCTAATTAAAGAGCTTCTGCATGGCAAAAGAAACTATCATCTGAATGAAGAGAACCTACAGAATGGGAGAAAATTTTTGCAATCTATCCATGTGATAAAGGTCTAATATCCAGAATCTACAAGAAACTTAAGCAAATTTACAAGAAAAAACAAACAACCTCATTAAAAAGTGGGCAAGGGACATGAACAGACATTTCTCAAAAAAAGACATATGTGCAGCCGACAAACATTTGAAAAAAGCTCAACATCACCAATCATTAGAAAAATGCAAATCAAAACCGCCACAAGATACTATCTCATGCCGATCAGAATGGTGATTATTAAAAAGTCAAGAAATGACAGATGCTGGTGAGGTGGCAGAGAAATAGGAATGCTTATAGACTGTTGGTGGGAATGTAAATTACTTCAATCATTGTGGAAGACAGTATGGTGATTCCTCAAAGATCTAGAATCAGAAATACCATCTGACCCAGCAATCCCATTACTGAGTATATACCCAAAGGAATATAAATCATTCTATTACAAAGATGCATGCACGTGTATGTTCATTGCATTACTATTCAAAATAGTAGAGACATGGAATCAACCAAAATGCCCATCAATGATAGACTGTATAAAGAAAATGTGGTACATACACACCATGGAATACTATGAAGCCATGAAAAGGAATGAGATCATGTCCTTTGCAGGGACATGGATGGAGCTGGAAGTCACTATCCTCAGTAAACCAACAGAAGAACAGAAAACTAAATACCACATGTTCTCACTTATAAGTGGGAGCTTAACAATGAGAACACATGGACACAGGGAGGGAAGCAACACACACTAGGGCCTGTCGGGGGATGGCAGGCTGGGGGAAGAGCATTAAGGAAAAGAATTAATGTATCTGGACTTAATACCCAGGTGATGCGTCGATAGGTGCAGCAAACCACCATGGCACATGTTTATCTATGTGACAAACCTGCACATCCTGTACATGTTCCCCAGAACTTAAAAAAATAAAATAAAATAAAAAACAAATTCAATTAAATGTTTAAAATATGTATCTAAAATGATCATTTACAGAGATGTTGAAATTATTGTTGTGGACAAAATATACCATGCATATATTAAACAAACAAAAGTGTTAGTTTACTTAAATTAATACAAGACAAAATAGAATTTAAAGCAAAAAATTACTAGAGTTTAACAGGGTCACTTTATAATAACTAAAGTTTCAATTTACCTAGCATTCTTAAGAAATCTAAATTTCTATGTACTTAAGAATGGGGTCTCAAAAATGAAGAAAATATTTGCAGATCTATAAGGATAAATAGAAAAAATAATCAACAAACCCTTAGCTAGACTAACTAAGGAAAAAAGGAGATGAGTCAAATAGATAAAATCAAAAATAAATGTAGAGAAATTAAAATGGACACCTCAGCCGCAGAAAGGATTGCAAGGAACTACTATGAACAGTTAAATGCCAACAAATTTGATAACCTAGAAAAAATAGTCAAATTTCTAGAAAAATACAACTTCCCAAGATTAAATCGGGAAGAAAGAGAAAGCCTGACCAGACTAACAACAAAGAGATTGAAGTAGTAAATAAGAACCTCTCAGCAAAGAGGACCAGATCATTTTACAGATGAATTGTATCAAACTTTCAAAGAAGAAAGTATACTAATACTTTTCCTCATCCAAAATATAGAGCCAGAGAGAATACTCTCAAACAAATTTTACAATGCCAGCATCACCTTGATACCTAATCCAGACAAAGACAACACAAGATGAGAAGCCTACAAGCCAATTTATCTGATGGACATTGATGGAAAAATACTCAATAAAATGTTAGCAAATCAAATTTAACAATACATCCAAAAGATTATATATCATGATCAAGTAGGATGTATCCCTGGCATGCAAGGAAGGCTGGTTTAACACATGCACATCAATCAATGTGATGCATCACACTAACAGACTAAAAGACAAAAACACATAGTCAATAAATTGATGCAGAAAAAAATTCAACAAAGTTTAATATCATTTCTTGATGAAAACTCTTAACAGTTTAGGTACAGAATAAAAGTTCCTCAATATAATAAAGCCCATTTATGGAAAAACTCACAGCTAACATCAGAATCAATGATGGGAAACTGAAAGCGTTTTCTTTAAGATCTGCAGGGCCTGGATGCCCACTCTTGCCACTTTTATTCAACACAGTTAAGGAAGTACTACCAACAGAAGTTAGGCAAGAAACAAAATTAATGGTATCGATATCAGAAAGGAAGAAATAACATTACCTCTATTCGCAGATGACATGGTCCTGTATGTAGAAAACCCCAAAGACTCCATCACAAAACTTTTAGATCCAATAAATGAATTCAGTAAATTTGCGGGATAAAAAATCAACATATAAAAATTCATAGCATTTCTATATACACAAGACAACCTACCTGAAAAAGATATCAATTTTATATATTTAGGCTAACGTATTTTATATATATTATAAATTATATATATTTATATATATAACGTATTTTATATATATTATATATCATATAATATATTATATAGTATATATAATTACTATATAATATATATAATATATATAATATATATTATATAATATATATTATATATTGTATATATAATATATTACATATTATATATTGTATATTATATATATAATATATTATATAATATATATTATATATTATTTATAATATATATCATATATATAATATATTATATATATATATATATATACATATTATATATATTATATGATATATATATATAATATAATATATCATATATTATATATATTATATGATATATATCATATTATATATATCATATAATATATATATTATATTATATATATCATATAATATATATAATATGTATAATATATTATATATTATATAATATAATATATATATTATATTATTATATATATATAATATCATATATTATATTATACATTATATATTATAACATATTATCATATATATTTATGTTATATTATAATATAATATAATACATTTTAATATAATATATTATATATTTTATATTATGTATTACAATATAATATATTATATATTATATATTATATATAATATATAAATATAATACATATAATATATATAATATATAATATATAATACATATAATATATATAATATATAATATATAATACATATAATACATAGAATATATATAATATATAATATAATATATAATATATATAATATTATATATATTATCTGTATATTATATATATTATATACAAAATATGTGTATAGAATAGAATATTATTCAGCCTTAAAAAAAACCACCTGCCCTTTGCCACAATATACATGGACCTCGAGGACATTAGGCTAAATGATATAAGACATAGAAAGGAAAATATTGCATGATATCACTTATACGTGGAATTTTTTTTTTCCAAAAAGGCCAAATATAGAGAAATAGATAATAAAACAGCATTTATGGGGTCAAGTAAATAGTGACTTGCAGGTAAAAGAATACAAATTAGCAAACATGTATGATGAAAAAGTCAAAAGGTATAATTTGTAACATGAGAACTATAGTTATTAAGAGCATAATGTATTCAGAATTTTTGCTAAATGAGTAGATTATAGCTGCTCTTGCCACTGGGGCAAATGGATAACTATGTGAGATGAAGAATATGTTAATTTATTCCACTATAATAATTATATATACATATAAAATATATACATATAAAATATATACATATAAAATAAATACATAAATACATATATACAAATAAATACATATATACATATAAAATATATATAACATATATACATATATATTTTATAACACCATGTTGCATACCTTAAATATATCAATAAAATTTATTTTACACAATAAATACAAGAATGAAAATAAATGAAGTCTTACTTTCCTTGAAATCTTAGAAAAGACCATGAAAGTAAATAGTAAAAAAGAATTTAAAAAATGTAAAAGTACAAAATGATAAGACAGAAAATAAAAAGAGGTAACAAGAAATTAACTTTCTTTTTTTTAAGGGCACAGTATATAAATCACTGGCTAAGTTGATCAAGCAAAACAGAAAGCACAAGTATTTGAAACAGGAAACGACAAAGAACCATTTCAACAAAAGTTGTATGTGTGTTTTTTAAATCATAAGGGACTACTTTGTGGAGTTCTAGGCAAATAAATTGGAAAACCTACATGAAGTAAATAATTTTCTAAGAAAATAAAGCCTACCAAAACTAACTTCATTTAAGGTATATAGCTTCTAAAATAATTTCCATAGGAAAAATAGAGAACTTTATTGAAGAGCTTCATATAAAAATGCCAAACGGAGACATCTTTCAGGGTAATTTTAATGGACTTCAAAAAGCCATGTACTTTCAATGCTCTATGTTCCCCACCCTATGTCCATGTGTTCTCATTGTTCAACTCCCACCAGTGGGTGAGAGCATGCATGTTTGGTTTTCTGTCCTTGTGATAGTTTGCTGAGAATGATGGTTTCCAGCTTTATCCATGTCCCTGCAAAGGACATGAACTCATCCTTTTTTCAGTGTTGAAAATAAAGAAAAAGTTCTTATTTCTTTTATGAACTAAATACAACATTAATAACTAAACCTAATAAAGATAATTTTTTTAAGATGGAGTCTCACTCTGTTGCTCAGGGTGGAGTGCAGTGGCATGCTCTCAGTTCACTGCAACCTCGCCTCCCGCATTCAAGCGATTCTCCCACCTTAGCCCCCTGGTAGCTGAGATTACAGGTGCACGCCACCACATCCAGCTAGTTTTTGTATTTTTAGTAGAGACAGGGTTTTACCATGTTGGCCAGGCTGGTCTTGAACTCCTGACCTCAGGTAATCTGCCCACCTTGGCCTCCCAAAGTGCTGCGATTACAGGCCTGATAAAGATAATTTTAAAAACAAAAGCTATGGACAAATACCTGTTATGACTATTGTCACAAAATTATAAAATAAAATATTACTAAGCAGAATATATCCCACATTTAATAAATTGGACATCATGACCAAATAAAATCTATCCCTAAAATGCACGGTTTGTTCAATTTTAGGACATGAATTATTAGCATATCCCATATTAATAGTTCTAAGGCAAAAAATGCATATGATTATCTTTGTAGGTGGTGAAATAGCCTTTAACAAAATTCAATGACCATTCTTAAAAGAAGAATTCAAGAAAACAGAAATTGATATTTTCTTAAGATAAATACATATATACATATAAGTACAATAGTGTATAGTAAAGTATTGTACTAGTAAAGTATTTAATATTTTACTAGATCTATTAGCCAATGCAATAGACAGGATAATATCAGAGGAATAATAATTGGTAGAGAAGAAATAAAACCATCTCTATTTGCAGAAGATATGGTAATATATCTCAAAAACCTAAAAAAAAAGGATAACACTTAAACAATAAAAGAATTCAGTGAAGTAGCTGGGTATAAAATTAACATGTAGAAAGCAATATGTTCTATACACATAATCATGAAGCAATCAGAGAACATATTGTAGAGCTAACCCTTTTTATAATAACAACAAAAAGATTAAATTTTTTTTCTTTTCTTTTTTTGATTATACTTTAAGTTCTAGGGTACATGTGCACAACGTGCAGGTTTGTTACATAGGCACACATGTGCCATGTGTTTGCTGCAATGTGATGGGTTTGCTGCACCCATCAACTCATCATTTACATTAGGTATTTCTCCTAATGCTATCCCTCCCCCAGGCCCCCACCCCACAACAGGCCCCCGTGTGGGATGTTCCCTGCCCTGCATCCATGTGTTCTCATTGTTCAACCCCCACCTGTGAGTAAGAACATGCATGTTTGGTTTTCTGTCCTTGTGATAGTTTGCTGAGAATGATGGTTTCCCGCTTCAGCCATGTCCCTGCAAAGGACATGATTTCATCATTTTTTATGGCTGCATAGTATTCCATGGTGTATATGTGCCACATTTTCTTAATCTAATCTATCATTGATAGACATTTGGGTTGGTTCCAAGTCTGCTATTGTGAATAGTGCCACAATAAACATAGGTGTGCATGTGTCTCTATAGTAGCATGATTTATAATCCTTTGGGTATATACCCAGTAATGGGATCGCTGAGTCAAATGGTATTTCTAGTTCTAGATCTTTGAGGAATCGCCACACTGTCTTCCACAATGGCTAAACTACTTTACACTCCCACCAACAGTGTAAAAGTGTTCCTATTTCTCCACATCCTCTCCAGCATCTGTTGCTTCCTGACTTTTTAATGATCACCATTCTAACTGGCATGAGATGGCATCTCATTGTGGTTTTGATTTGCATTTCTCTGATGATCAGTGATGATGAGCATTTTTTCGTGTCTGTTGGCTGCATAAATGTCTTCTTTTGAGAAGTGTCTGTTCATATCCTTTGCCCACCTTTTGATGGGGATGTTTTTTTCTTGTAAATTTGTTTAAGTTCTTTGTAGATTCTGGATATTAGCCCTTTGTCAGATGGGTAGATTGCAAAGATTTTCTCCCATTCTGTAGGTTGCCTGTTCACTCTGATGATAGTTTCTTTTGCTATGCAGAAGTTCTTTAGTATAATTAGATCCCATTTGTCTGTTTTGGCTTTTGTTGCCAATGCTTTTGGTGTTTTACTCATGAAGTCTTTGCCTGTGCCTAGGTATTGCCTAGGTTTTTTTCTAGGGTTTTTATGGTTGTAGGTCTAACATTTAAGTCTTTAATCCATCTTGAGTTAATTTTCGTATATGGTGTAAGGAAGGGATCCAGTTTCAGCTTTCTACATATGGCTAGCCAGTTTTCCCAGCACCATTTATTACATAGGGAATCCTTTCCCCATTGCTTGTTTTTGTTAAGCTTGTCAAAGATCAGATGGTTGTAGATGTGTGGTGTTATTTCTGAGGCCTCTGTTCCATTCCATTGGTCTATATATCTGTTTGGTACCAGTACCATGCTGTTTTGATTACTGTAGCCTTGTAGTATAGTTGGAAGTCAGACAGCATGATGCCTCCAGCTTTGTTCTTATTACTTAGGATTGTCTTGGCAATGCAGGCTCTTTTTTGGTTCCATATGAACTTTAAAGTAGTTTTTCCAATTCTGTGAAGAAAGTCAGTGGTAGCTTGACAGAGATAGCATTGAATGTATAAATGACTTAGGCAGTATGGCCATTTTCAAAATACTGATCCTTCCTATCCGTGAGCATGGAATGTTCTTCTATTTGTTTGTGTCCTCTTTTATTTAGTTGAGCAGTGGCTTGTAGTTCTCCTTGAAAAAGTCCTTCACATCCCTTGTAAGTTGGATTCCTAGGGATTTTATTCTCTTTGTAGCAATTGTGAATGGGAGTTCACTCATGATTTGGCTCTCTGTTTGTCTCTTATTGTTGTGTAGTAATGCTTGTGATTTTTGCACATTGATTTTGTATCCTGAGACTTTGCTGAAGCTCCTTATCAGCTTAAGGAGATTTTGTGCTGAGACAATGGGGTTTTCTAAATATAAAATCACATCATCTGCATACAGAGACATTTTGAGTTCCTCTTTTCCTAATTGAATACGTACCCTTTATTTCTCTCTCTTGCCTGATTGCCCTAGCTAGAACTTCCAACACTATATTGAAAAGGAGTGGTGAGAGACGGGATCCTTGTCTTGGGCTGGTTTTCAAAGGGAATGCTTTCAGTTTTCGCCTATTCAGTATGATATTGGTTGTGGGTTTGTCATAAATAGCTCTCATTATTTTCAGATATGTTCCATCGATACTTAGTTTATTGAGAATTTTTAGCATGAAGGGGTGTTGAATATTGTGGAAGGCCATTTCTGCAACTATTGAGATAATCGTGGTTTTTGTCATTGGCTCTGTTTAAGTGATGGATTACGTTTATTGATTTGCATATGTTGAACAAGCCTTGCATCCCAGGGACAAAGCTGACTTCATCATAGTGGATAAGCTTTTTGATGTGCTGCTGGATTCGGTTTGCCAGTATTTTATTGAGGATTTTCGCATCAATGTTCATCAGGGATATTGGCCTAAAATTCTCATTTTCTTTTTTTTTTGTTGTGTCTCTACCAGGCTTTGGTATGAGGATGATTCTAGCCTCATAAAATGAGTTAGGGACGATTTCCTATTTTTCTATTGAATGAAATAGTTTCACAAGGAATGGTACCAGCTCCTCTTTGTACTTCTGGTAGAATTCTGCTGAATCCATCTCATTCTGGACTTTTTTTTAGTTCGTAGGCTATTAATTATTGCCTCAATTTCAGAACCTGTTATTGGTCTATTCAGAGATTCAACTTCTTCCTGGTTTAGTCTTGGGAGGGTATAAGTGTCCAGGAAATTTATCCATTTCTTCTTGCTTTTCTAGTTTATATGTGTAGAGGTGTTTATAGTATTTTCTGATGGTAGTTTGTATTTCTGTGGAATCGGTGGTAATATCCCCTTTATCATTTTTATTGGATCTATTTGATTCTTCTCTCTTTCCTTCTTTATTAGTCTTGCTAGTGGTCTATGTATTTTGTTGATCTTTTCAAAAAACCAGCTCCTGGATTCATTGATATTTTGAAGGGTTTTTTGTGTCTCTATCTCCTTCAGTTCTGCTCTGATCTTAGTTATTTCTTGCCTTCTGCTAGCTTTTGAATTTGTTTGCTTTTGCTTCTCTAGTTCTTCTAATTGTGATGTTAATGGTGTCGATTTTAGATCTTTCCTGTTTTCTCTTGTGGGCATTTAGTGCTATAAATTTCCCTCTACAGACTGCTTTAAATGTGTCCCAGAGATTCCGGTATGTTGTGTCTTTGTTCTCGTTGGTTTCAAAGAACATCTTTATTTCTGCCTTCATTTCATTATTTACCAAGTAGTCATTCAGGAGCAGGTTGTTCAGTTTCGACAATGGCGTGCGGTTTTGAGTGAGTTTCTTAATCTTGAGTTCTAATCTGATTGCACTGTGGTCTGAGAGACAGTTTGTTGTGATTTCTGCTCTTTTACATTTGCTGAGGAGTGCTTTATTTCCAACTATGTGGTCAATTTTGGAATAAGTGTGATGTGGTGCTGAGAAGAATGTATATTCTCCCATTTTGGTGGGGAGAGTTCTGTAGATGTCTATTAGGTCTGCTTGGTCCAGAGCTGAGTTCAAGTCCTGGATATCCTTGTTAACCTTCTGTCTCATTGATCTGTCTAATATTGACGGTGGGGTGTTAAAGTCTCCCATTATTATTGGCTGGGAGTCTAAGTCTCTTTGTAGGTCTCTAAGGACTTTATGAATCTGGGTAGTCCTGTTTTGGGTGCATATATATTTAGGATAGTTAGCTCTTCTTGTTGAATTGATCCCTTTACAATTATATAGTGGCCTTCTTTGTCAAAAAGATTAAATTCTTAAAAATAAACAACAAAAATGTGTAAAATCCGTGTAAGGAAAACTGTGAAATGCCTTTGAAAGACATCTTCAAGGAGAACTACAAACCACTGCTCAATGAAATAAAAGAGGATACAAACAAATGGAAGAACATTCCATGCTCATGGGTAGGAAGAATCAATATCGTGAAAATGGCCATACTGCCCAAGGTAATTTATAGATTCAATGCCATCCCCATCAAGCTACCAATGACTTTCTTCACAGAATTGGAAAAAACTACTTTAAAGTTCATATGGAACCAAAAAACAGCCTGCATTGCCAAGTCAATTCTAAGCCAAAAGAACAAAGCCGGAGGCATCATGCTACCTGACTTCAAACTATATGACAAGGCTACAGTAACCAAAACAGCATGGTACTGGTACCAAAACAGAGATATAGATCAATGGAACAGAACAGAGCCCTCAGAAATAATGCCTCATATCTACAACCATCTGATCTTTGACAAACCTGAGAAAAACAAGCAATGGGGAAAGGATTCCCTATGTAATAAATGGTGCTGGGAAAACTGGCTAGCCATATGTAGAAAGCTGAAATTGGATCCCTTCCTTACACCTTATACAAAAATTAATTCAAGATGGGTTAAAGACTTACATATTAGACCTAAAACCATAAAAACCCTAGAAGAAAACCTAAGCAATACCATTCAGGACATAGGCATGGGCAAGGACTTCATGTCTAAAACACCAAAAGCAATGGCAACAAAAGCCAAAATTGACAAATGGGATCTAATTAAATTAAAGAGCTTCTGCACAGCAAAGGAAACTACCGTCAGAGTGAACAGGCAACCTACAGAATGGGAGAAAATTTTCGCAACCTACTCATCTGACAAAGGGCTAATATCCAGAATCTACAAAGAACTTAAACAAATTTACAAGAAAAAAACAACCCCATCAAAAAGTGGGTGAAGGATATGAACAAACACTTCTCAAAAGAAGACATTTATGCAGCCAAAAAACACATGAAAAAATGCTCATCATCACTGGCCATCAGAGAAATGCAAATCAAAACCACAGTGAGATATCATCTCACACCAGTTAGAATGGCAATCATTCAAAAGTCAGGAAACAACAGGTGCTGGAGAGGATGTGAAGAAATAGGAACACTTTTACACTGTTGGTGGGACTGTAAACTAGTTCAACCATTGTGGAAGTCAGTGTGGTGATTCCTCAGGGATCTAGAACTAGAAATACCATTTGACCCAGCCATCCCATTACTGGTTATATACCCAAAGGATTATAAATCATGCTGCTATAAAGACACATGCACACGTATGTTTATTGCGGCACTATTCACAATAGCAAAGACTTGGAACCAACCCACATGTCCAACAACGATAGACTGGATTAAGAAAATGTGGCACATATACACCATGGAATACTATGCAGCCATAGAAAATGATGAGTTCATGTCCTTTGTAGGGACATGGATGAAACTGGAAACCTTCATTCTCAGCAAACTATCGCAAGGACAAAAAACCAAAGACCACATGTTCTCACTCATAGGTGGGAATTGAACAATGAGAACAAATGCACACAGGAAGGGGAACATCACACTCTGGGGACTGTTGTGGGGTGGGGGGAGGGGGGAGGGATAGCATTAGGAGATATGCCTAATGCTAAATGATGAGTTAATGGGTGCAGCATACCAACATGGCACATGTATACATATGTAACAAACCTGCACATTGTGCACATGTACCCTAAAACTTAAAATATAATAATAATAAAATTGAAAAATAGTTTTAAATAAATGGAAAGTTATCTCATATTCTAGTATAGAATGAATCAAAACTACCAGGAAATATTTTCTTCCTACCTTAATTTTAAAATTTATAAAATGCAATCCTAATTTTAAAAAATCAACAAGCTTTTTATACAGTTACACAAGCTGATGTTAATTTATACAAAAAATGTAAGAAGATTCAGGAAAGCATTGATAATAAAATTTATGAGACAAGGCTGTTTGCTAAATATTAAAACATACTTTAAAGTTTTTCTAATTAAGACAGTGCCCTACTGGCTTTTGAATAGACACATGGACTAGATGAAGGAATAGAAAATGCAGAAATTGATGCAAGTACCTGTAAAAACAGCATATGATGAGGTTTTATCTCAAATTACTGAGATAAACATTGACTTTTTAATAAGTGATGCTGGTACAGCAACATAGCCATTTGGAAAGAGAAAAAATAATACTCATATTTTATACTATGCACAAAAATAAACTTTAGATGGATCAGGATTATAAATGTAAAAACAAAAACAAAACCATAGACATACTAGAAGAAAACATGCACAAATTCCTTGTTAACCTCACTCTGAGGAAAGAATATCTAACTATGATTTAAAATCTAGAAGCAATACAATAAAAGACTGATAAATTTGACTAGATTTATGATATTATGACCAAAAATATTATAGACAAATTCAAAAGAAAACTAACTAGAGAAAAGTGCAATTTATACTATATACAAAGTATCCCTAAAATAAAAATCACTCTTAAAAGGCAAAAGACCAAAAACTCAATAGAAAAAAAAATGGAAAAAAAATACATAAACAGTAGACTCATGAGAATATAAAAATGTTCCTTAAAAATATAAAAATGTGGTAGGCTCACTCATAATTTGAGAACTAAAAATTACTACTCTGAGATAGCATTTCTCAACTACTAGATTGATAAAAATTTCAAAATATGACAATACTCTCATTCATTGCCTTGGAAATGCAGAGCTGAACCCTCCTCAAGTAACTTTTGCAGTACCTAACAAAACTATATATGCACTTACTCTTTGAACCAGAAATCTCTCTTCTAGAAATATACCCTGAAGGTATCCTTCAGCAATGTAAAATTAAATATGCTCTAGATTATTTATTACAGCATTATCCATAATTGCAAAATATTGGACATAACCTAAATGCTCACACCTAAGATAATTTAAATGAACTATGATACATTCACAGGATGAAGTAATATGAGGCTGTCAAAAGAATAAAGAAGATCCTTGTGAACTAATATGAAATGTTTTCCCGCGTATATTTTTTAGTGTAAAAGTAACATTCAGATAAGAATCTATTATACTATACCTTTCATATAAATTAAAGGAGTGGATATATGAAAATCTATGTGCACAAAGATAAATACAAGGAAGACAGATCAGATTTTAACAAGATTTATTATCTACAGCAGGTAGGTAAAAATGAGTGAAAAGAATGGGGAAATGCAAATGAAGTGGAAGGAAAAAAGAGGCATGACCTTTTTCTGAGTGTAATGTTTTGCACAGTTCTTATTCTTAGAACTAACCATATTAATGTTTCACATTTCCTTAAAACAAATTAATGAAAATCAAAAAAGATGATTGAGTGGCCCAAAACATGATACAAATGGTAACAATTAAACCTACCTAGATTTATATTAAATGAATAACTTAACCACACAGACTGGGATGGGAAAGGAAATACTTAAACTAAGTAACTTTGGAGAACAATATTTAGACTACTGTTTATGGGAAGGATAAAGACAAAAAATTTGTACACAAATATTGTACTACATTTGGTAAATTTGTTTTTCTACAGCGTTCTAGGTTAACAATTTTGAAACTACTTTATGTGAGTTGTAGGATAGAGCAAATATGTAAATATGTTGTAGTTGATAAGAGTTAAGTTTCAGTCAGAAAAAGGAATTATAAATAATAAGAAGGCTGTGATTAGAATCAGAGGTGTCAGTATAAATGCATCTTTTTAAATATGTATTTTTAAAGATGGATACAGAAATAGATGTAGTTGTGTATCTATATACAAACAAACATTTTTGGACCCTCCTCTGATGAGTGGGACTAAAGGCAATGAAACCCCAGTAGCAATAAGTACACCTGGCACATACTAGCACCAAAGATACCTAGGAGAAATGGCTGATTACATTGTTTAGGCAGGGAAAGTGCAATATGAACCTGAAATATCTTGTGGGACAGAAAATATAATTTTTTTCTATTGATGGAGACAGGATGAAAAGACACAAGAGTCAGCCTGATGAAGCTCCCAACAGTCAAGCTTGGAAGAATTTGAGTAAAAAAAATAGTGGTAGCAATGAATTATAACTCATAGAATAAAATAAATACCCATGAGTCCATGGTGAAATAAGTAAGTCAATAAATAACTGGGAGACAAGGGACCGCTCTTCCTTTTGGTAAAATTCCAGTTCAAAAATATAGAAAAAATGGCCCAGGTGTGGTGGCTCATGCCTGCAATCCCAGTGCTTTGGGTGGCTGAGGTGGGCAGATTGTTTGAGGCCAGGAGTTCAAGAACAGCCTGGACAACACAGGGAGACCCTATCTCTACAAAAAATAATTTTAAAAACTTAGCTGGGTGTGGTGATATGCACCTGTAGTCCTAGCTACTTGGGAGGCTGAGGTAGGAGGATCACATGGGCCCAGTAGTTTGAGGCTATAAGCTATGATCACACCACCGCACTCCAGATAGGGTGACAGAGCAAGAACCTGCCTTGAAAGTAATTTAATAAATAAATAAATAAAGTTAAAAGATGAAATGATGGAAATAGAAAAATCACTATTTGGCAGACACCATAGTAACAATTACTACAGACAAGAATCATCAGCAAATGCTAAATTAGTGGGCTAAACTATCATGAGAAACAAAACATTTGCATAGTCCTAAAGTATCTCCCCAAAAGATACTTATTAACTACAGAGGAGAATAAAAGGCAACATTACCATGGAGAAACCTTGCAGATATCACCTTCAACAAATGATTAATGCTAACATCACAAGTGATGACATATCCATATCATGTACCTTGCAGTATAATATACTTAGAAGGACAGAATATCTTTTCTGTGGTAGTCTCCTCAAAAATTCATCAACCAATCTAAGCATGAGAGATTTTCAGGCAAACTCAACTTGAAGGACACTGTACAAAATAACTCCTCAGTACACTTCAAAACTATCAAGGTTATAATAAATAAATAAAGATTAATAAACTGTTCCAGATTCAAGGAGATTGAGGCCTAATAATTTTAATAACAATGTGAAACACTGGATCCTGAACCAGAAAAAATATACATTGGGACAATTTGAAAAATTTGAATATGGTCTCTTGATAATATGCATCAGTGTAAATATCCTGGTTTTGATAATTATTCCAAGGTTATACAAGATGTAAAGACTTGAGGAAGCTAGATGAAGACTATCTGAGAACTACATGTATTTCTTTTTTGCAGCTTTCTTTATAGGTCTAAAGGTATTGTTAAATTTAAGTTAAAAAATATACATATTCACCTTTTGTCCCTTTTCTCCTCTGTATTAAATTAAGCTGTAACTTTTCATTCATATAGTCAATTAAGTTGTAATATGAACAAAGTGGTGGTGAGACAGAACTAAAAGTGTTATTATGGTAATGTCAAAATTTTACTTTGGAAAATGCTATATAAATGTTTCTGTACTTTTGATTAAAATTAAAAACAATTAATGCTATATAAATGTTTCTGCACTTTTGGATTAAAATTAAACACAATTACACTTTTCTAGGAAAACCCAGCAGCTACTTTGATTTTTGTCTCTTGCCAAGCTTAAGATATCAAATGACTTTCATCTTGGTAATAAAATGCATGCAAATATCATTAAAAGGAAATGCACATATAGTAAATTTGCAGCTGTGTCTATTCAAAGATTTCTTCACAGTGGCCTGGGATTATTTTACTGTTATTACTCTCCTTTAAATAATTCGAAGATGATGTAATTTTAACCTTTTATCCTCCTGGTATTTCAGATTAATTAGAACATGTTCATGGAAATAATTTTTTATTACATGTTCTTTAAATCAAGTTCCTACACATTCAAAGTATTTAAAGTATTTAATTTTTTAATGCCATTAACCATTTAGCAATATTTATTTCTAATTAAAAAGTAAAAATTCTTGTCATTGATGCAGATTCTAGGGCACATGTGCACAACGTGCAGGTTTGTTACATATGTATACATGTGCCATGTTGGTATGCTGCACCCATTAACTCCTCATTTACATTAGGTATATCTCTTAATGCTATCCCTCCCCCCTCCCCCCACCCCACAACAGGCCCTGGTGTGTGATGTTCCCCTTCCTGTGTCCAAGTGTTCTCATTGTTCAATTCCCACCTATGAGTGAGAACGTGTGGTGTTTTGTTTTTTGTCCTTGTCATAGTTTCCTGAGAATGAAGGTTTCCAGCTTCATCCATGTCCCTACAAAGGATGTGAACTCGTCATTTTTTATGGCTGCATAGTATTCCATGGTGTACATGTGCCACATTTTCTTAATCCAGTCTATCATTGTTGGACATTTGGGTTGGTTCCAAGTTTCTGCTATTGTGAATAGTGTCACAATAAACATACCTGTGCATGTGTCTTTATAGCAGCATGATTTATATTCCTTTGGGTATATACCCAGTAATGGGATGGCTGAGTCAAATGGTATTTCTAGTTCTAGATCCCTGAGGAATCGCCACACTGTCTTCCCACAATGGTTGAACTAGTTTACAGTCTCATCAACAGTGTAAAAGTGTTCTTATTTCTCCAAATCCTCTCCAGCACCTGTTGTTTCCTGACTTTTGAATGATCGCCATTCTAACTGGTGTGAGATGATATCTCATTGTGGTTTTGATTTGCATTTCTCTGATGGCCAGTGATGATGAGCATTTTTTCATGTGTCTTTTGGCTGCATAAATGTCTTCTTTTGAGAAGTGTCTGTTCATGTCCTTCGCCCACTTTTTGATGGGGTTGTTTGTTTTTTTCTTGTAAATTTGTTTGAGTTCTTTGTAGATTCTTGATATTAGCCTTTTGTCAGATGAGTTGATTGCAAAAATTTTCTCCCATTCTGTAGGTTGCCTGTTCACTCTGATGGTAGTTTCTTTTGCTGTGCAGAAGCTCTTTAGTTTAATTAGATCCCATTTGTCAATTTTGGCTTTTGTTGCCATTGCTTTTGGTGTTTTAGACATGAAGTCCTTGCCCATGCCTATGTCCTGAATGGTATTGCCTAGGTTTTCTTCTAGGGTTTTTATGGCTGTAGGTCTAACATTTAAGTCTTTAATCCATCTTGAATTAATTTTTGTATAAGGTGTAAGGAAGGGATCCAGTTTCAGCTTTCTACATATGGCTAGCCAGTTTTCCCAGCACCATTTATTAAATAGGGAATCGTTTCCCCATTTCTTGTTTTTCTCAGGTTTGTCAAAGATCAGATAGTTGTAGATGTGTGGTATTATTTAAAATTATTTTTTTCTAACAAAGGAGGTTAGAAATTTAGTTTTTATTAAACATATCTGACTAGTTTTCCACATATGATTAAATAATGCAATTCTACTTCAATGATTTGAATTGTGACTTCTATATTTTTATCTTATATAAATTATAATATGTATTTTTCTGTTTCTAATATTCATTCTAATCAATTAATTTGGTGGCTGTTCTTATATGACTATTTGAGCATTTTAATTTTTATTATTTAAGACTTTATATTAATATCTTCTATTCCAAATTCTTCCTCATTAGAATTCTTTTAAAAATCTCTTTCATGGCTATAATTTTAACTGTTGCTTAGAATCACTGATCCAATTCTACCACCACCCACTTCTACTCCTTCACACTTCTCTCCATCTACAGATGACCCAAGGATTGAATTGAATTTATATAGAGACTCTTTAGAAGGATGAGGAATGTTGTTCCCTTTATTTACCTTCTTTTATGTTTTTCAGTTCATTTTAAAATTTTCTGCAGATTATCTTCTAATTGTGTTACGTATGTTCTTATTGTGATATTTGCTATTGTTCTACTTTGTAATTTTATATCACAGTTTATAATAGTTGTTGTAGGCGTATTAAAAATTTATTGACATATATTTATTGTATATGCAGCCGCCATACTAAACTCATAGTTTTTAGCGTATTATTTACTTATTCTGTGTATTTTGTCACAAACAAATAACATTACTGAATCCTCCTTTCCAATGCCTATAACTTTTAGTGATCTTATCTATTGGCAATAGCTAGCATTTCAAGAAAAAAAGTTAAATAAAAATAGTAGTATTGACAACTTCTGTGTTTTTAAAATTTATTATTCCATCAATATTTCCCCAGTGGGGTGTGTGTGTGTGTGTGTGTGTGTGTGTGTGTGTGTAAGGTTAAAATATTTAAAATAGTAAATAGAAACATATATATCTATATATATTTTGGAAAACATAGTTTTTAATAACTTTTGTCAGGAGTAAAATTTCAGTGTTATTACATGCACTTTTGACATCAATAAAATACTTAAAACATTTTTCAACTTCAGTATCTTTTTGTTATAGATGCATTATTATTAAATCATTCTACATTTCTGTATTGAACTAAATACAAATACATTGTACTAAGCTTTTTATGTACTTTTGGATTCTCTTTGCTAATTATTAGCATTTTGTCATATTTTCTAGTAGGGAGGCACTATGGCATAGTGGTTAATAGCCCAGACATTAGCATCTGAGTTTCTAAGTTCAAATTATGGCTCTACCATAACTAGCTATGTAACTTCATATCCTCTGCTCTTCATTTTTCTCTATCTGTAAATGGAGAAAAATTACAGTCATGAGCTCATGGTTTATGAAAATTAAATGAATTAATATATGTAAGCCTCATTAATAACAGATTCTAGCAAAAAGTACATACTCAAGAAATATGAGCAAATATTAGTGGGACTGACTTCTGATGCTCTCTGTCAGTTTCAGGAATTAGTGTTATGCTGCTTATGTAAAGGATTCTCTATTTTTAATTACTGTTTATAATATTATTTTTCCTTTATAATGGCTAATTTTGTGTGTTTATGAATCTTCTTTCTTCTTGTTCAGTTAACCTAGTGATTCATCTATTTATTGTTTTCCTCTAAAAGAAGAAGCACTTATATATCAATTCAATGAGAATTTTTATTGGTATGGTAGCTGTCTAATTTATTAATTCCTGATTTATCATTATTGAATAATTTCTTTCCACCCATTTTTTATTGTCATTATTTATTTCTGTTCCTGATCTGTCTTGTTTTATCAGCTTGAATTACAAAATGAGGTCTCTTTCCATTTAATATTGTAATTAAGTTGCACAGAGTCCTCATCCTACCCACCTCAAGAGCCACTTTGTAATTCCTCCTTAAGACTCTCAGTTCTGTGAGGATGCTTTCTATCTAATAAAGTTTCAGCCTTGTTTATTATTACATTCAGGAAAAAATTATCTGGAAAGCCTGTTCAGGCCACATAGAAACCTTGTGCTCATCACTAATATTGCTAAGCTCCTTCACACAATTGCAACTGGAAGACCCTGTGCTCTGTAGTGTCTAAGGCAGCACCACTATTACTGGTCAACCAACAGTTTATTTAAGGGGCTGTGGATAGGTATAGGAGGGAGGGGAGAAGAAATCTATCTTTTCTAGTACTTTGTTTGGTCACGGTTGATCACATGCTATTACTTTATAGGAACACAATCCCTGCACATAAGCACACATAAGACGGACACACAGGCACACATAAGAAACTATTTCAAAAATTCACTCATGGTGTTCAGGGAGGCTGAATGCGGAGTAGCTACAGGACCAACCTCATGCTGGACAGAACCATCTTTCTCTGGGACTTAAGAAGAGAGGTTACTTCACCTATGTCATAAGAATCACAGTCCCTGAACAACTAAGTAATGGGATTGCAACTCAAAGATAGCCAAATTAAGCTGTTTCCCTGCCACTGTTGTCACCCTTGTGAGCATCATAGATGTGCATTCACATATTCCAAGTCCAAGCTGTTCCTACCAGTAACAGATCATACATATATGCTCTCTTCCAAACCCTAGCAAAGCCATATTCCTGACATCCCTGTCTGGCTCCCAATTCTGCAAAAAGCAATTCTCTCCTTAGTCTCAAGGCTCATCCCATTTTCTTCCCCAGCATGACAAATAGAGAGAACATTCACACTCTTGGTCCCATAATCACCTATAAAATAAATAACTAGAGACCAATTTATTATCCTCGATCTAGCTGGTCAGTGTTACCCATATTCCATGTTGTTAAATATAAGTAGATTTATATATATATATGATTTCTGTTTTCAAGTTATTTTTATTTTTAAATAGTCTTAGAATTTTTAAACAATTATTCCTAAAAGAAATATTTATTGAGGACTTGTTATATATTATACAATATCTTAGGCCTGCATAAAATAGTAATAAACCTTTTCTCACAGTATATTCTGATGGTATGGGAAATAAACAAAAATCTGACTTAGTTTATAAATATTATTTAATGTTTTGTCAATAATCATTTAATATTATATTAAAAAGTGTATTTACATATAAATACAGGTGATATATATAGATGTGGCATAGATATAAGTACAGTTTATGAAAAATGAAAATGTAACGTTAGTCCAGATCTAAAGGTGTTAAGAGGGAACAAACCATGTGGATAATCAGTAGTGCATCCAGGCAGAGCCAACTGAATGGAGAAAGATTAAGAAACAATATGAGGGATTGGGAGGCTATTGCATAAAACAGTCAAGAAATTATAGTGACTAAGTAGTGTAGGTATTGGGAAATGGTTGAATTCTGGTTGCATTTTTAAGATAACCAAAGATTTGCTGATGAGTCAGATGTGAGCTCTTTATCCTAAGCTCTACAACCGCACATCCAACTAGCCAATGCATTCCCTTCCATTCCAATCTTGATTTATTCATTCAATATTTTTGGGCCTTACCACGTGCCAAACACTATAGCTATGCTATGGGAAAAATAAATAATGCATCATTTCTCTTTCTGAGGAACAGAATGGCTACTAGTGCAGATAGACACATAAACAGAACACATTTTCGAAACATAGTAATTATAACAGCACGGAGAAAGAAGTGACTGATTACACCTAGAAAGATCAGTGAAATCATCACAGAAAAAAATGATATGTAAACTGGTATTTGAAGAATGAGTAAAGCTAAAAAATAGGAAAAAGGCAGTAGAGAGGATGAGGGTGGAAGCTTATATGAAAGCAATGGCAGAAGATAAGCAAAAGAGCAGGTGGATTCAGAAAGATATAGTAAGTAAAATAAGTAGAATTTTGTAAATAAATTAAGCATTGGGGAAGATGATGAGTGTGAAATTTTAAAGTCTCTAAATTTTCTAGTTTTGATAAGTAGGTGTCATCCAAATAGAAAAAGAGAAAGTCAGATAATCTCTCCTCACTAACGATATGATTACATACCTAGAAAACCCTAAAAATTCCAGCAAAAGACTCTTAGACCTGATAAATGACTTCAATAAAGTCTCAGGATACAAAATCAACATACAATAATCAGTACCATTTGTACACACCAATGTTCAAGCTGAGAACAAAATCAAGAATGCAATCCCATTTACAACAGCCACACATGAAAATACAATACCTAAGAATACATCTAAAAAATGAGGTGAACAATCTGTATGAGGTGAACTACGAAACATTGAAAGAAATCATACAATACGCACACACACACAAAAATAGAAAAGCATTTCTTCCTCTTCGGTTGGAAGAATCAATATCGTTAAAATGCCCAACTGACACAAGGAATCTACAGAGTCAACACTATTCCTGTCAAATTCCCAAAATCATTTTTTACAGAGTTAGAGAAAACTTCTAAAATTTATGTGGAACTAAAAAAGAGCCCAAACAGCCAAGGCAATTCTAGGTGAAAATAACAAAGCCAGAGGCATCATGTTACCCAACTTCTAACTATAACATAAGGCTATAGTAACCAAAACAGCATGATACTAGTACAAAAATAGACATATAGATGAATGCGACAAAATAAAGATCACTGAAATAAATCCTGACACCTACTACCAACTCATCATTGACAAAGTTGACAAAGATAAACAATGGAGAAAGGAACCCTATTTGATAAATGGTGCTGGGAAAACTGGCTAAACATGTGCAAAAGAATGAAACTAGACCCTACCTCTTACTATATACAAAAATTATCTCATGATGGATTAAAGACTTATATGTGATCCCCAAAACTATAAAACTTCTAAAAGAAAACCTAGGAAATAGCCATAGCTATTGGCATAAGCAAAGAATTTATGATGAATGTCCCAAAAGAAAATGCAGCAAAATAAAAATAGACAAATGGGACTTAAAACTGAAGAGCTTCTCCACAGCAAAAGAAACTCAACAAAGTAAACAGGCAACCTACAGACTGGTAGAAAATATTTGCAAACTATGCATCCCACAAAGGGTGAATATCCATAATATACAAGGAACTTAATCAACAAGTAAAAAGAAACAACCTTTTTTAAAAAGTAGGCAAAGACATGAACAGACACTTCTTGAAATTAGACATACAAGTGGCCAACAAATATATGAAAAAATGCTCAGCATCACTAATAATCAGAGAAATGCAAATCAAAATCACAATGAGATATCATCTCAGACCAGTGGGAATGGTTATTACTAAAACTCAAAAAATAACATGTAGGCAAGGATGTGGAGAAAAAAAGAATGCTTATACATTGCAGGTGTGAATGCAAATTAGTTTAGAGCCTGAGGAAAGCAGTTTGGAGATTTCTCAAATAACTAAAAATATAATTATCTTTCCACCCACCAATCCCATTACTGGGTATATATCCAAAGGAAAAAAAATGTTCTACCAAAAAAGACACATGAAAATGTATGTTCATCACAGCACTATTCACAACAGAAAAGACATGGACTCGGCAGGGCATGGTAGCTCACATCTGTAATCCCAGCCCTTTGGGAGGCCCAGGTGGGTGGATCTTGAGGTCAAGAGTTTGAGACCAGCCTGGCCAACATAGTGAAACCCCGTCTCTACTAAAAATACAAAAATTTGCCAGCTGTGGTGGCACACACCTGTAGTCCCAGCTACTTGGGAGTCTGAGGCAGGAGAATCTCTTGGATCTGGGAGGCGGAAGTTTCAGTGAGCCGAGACTGCACCATTGCGCTCCAGCTTGGGTGACAGAGTGAGACTCCCTCTCAGAAAAAAAGAAAAAAAAAAAAAAGAAAAGACATGGACTCATCCTACATGTCCATGAATGGTGGCTTGGATAAAGAAAATGGTATAAACACACACCATGAAATACTAGAGTAATAAAAAAGAATAAAATCACGTCCTTTCCAGCAACATAGATGCTGCTGGAGGCTGTTATCCTAAGTGAATTAATGCAGAAACAGAAAACCAAATATTCCATGTTCTCACTTATAAGTGGGAGCTAAACATTAGGTTCACACAGTCATAAATATGAGAATAATAGACACTAAAAGGAGGGAGAAAGGCAGGGGAGCAAGGACTGAAAAACATCCTATTGAGTACTATGTTCATTATCTGGTCGACAGGATCAATGGAAGCCCAAACTGCAGCACCACACAATATACCCTTATAACAAACCTGCACATGTACCCACCCGAAAACTAAAATAAACATGAAAATTAAACAAAATAAAATAAATTACCATCTTCTCCTTGCATATCTTGTTTTCTTCTGTAAAATGGCAACAATAGCAGCTTCACAGGACCATTGTTAGGATTAAGTAAATTAACACATCAAAGTGCTTAGAATAGTGTCTATTGTATAGTAAATGCTCAATATAGTCCATTGATTGTTTGAAAAAAGCAAAAAGTAGTGGTTAGCATGTGAGTTCTGGAGACAAAATAAATTTTAATCCAAATTTACTCCCTAAGTAGTTGAATAATTTGAGGCAAGTTATTGCCCCCAATATTGTAAATATTTACATCTCCCCAGCTTTGTTTTTTCACATGTAAAATTATTAAAGTCATGGAGATGCATCATATCTACCAGAATATTATACCAGTAGCTTTTATGTGATACTTCTAAAAATGACTTTTTCTTCGAGGCACGTATTTGAATTATACACGCATGTGTATAATAATAATGAATGTGGAGGTTTTAGGAGAATACCTATGCAACAGAACTCAATAAATTTTAGTTATTTTGGTTATTAGTTTATTGTTTATTTATTATTGCTAGCAATAACTCTACCTTGATTTTTAGCTATTTGCTTATTTTAATTTTTAATTTCAAAATACTTAATATTAATTGCATAATTTGGTCAACAAATGTTTATCAACTGAAATACAGAAAGAATTTTGTACAGATTTCAAAATCAGATGTATAAGAAGAATAGTAGTCAGTTTGGTTTACAACAGTGGAAGAAAATGGGAATTGATTATTGTCTTAGTTGATTTGTGTTGCTATACAGTAATACCTGAGACTGGGTGATCTAAAAAGAAAAGAAGTTTACTTGGCACATGGTTCTGCACACTGAACAAGAAGCATGGCACCAGCATCTGCTCCTGGTGAGGGCCCCAGACTGTTTCCACTCACAGCAGAAGGTAAAGGAATGCCAGCGTATCACATGTCAAGAGAGGAGGCAAGAGAGAGGAGGAGGTGCCAGGCTCTTCTTAACAATGAGTTTGCTTGGGAACTAGCAGTGAGAAATCACTCACTACCTTGAGGATGGCACCAAGACATTCATGAGGAATCTTCCCCTATGACCCAAACACCTCCTATATGGGCACACCTCCAACACTGGGGATCCAATTTCAACATGAGATGGACATGTTGAACATGGGAACATTTCAACATGAGGGAACGTATATCTAAACTTTATCAATGGTGAATTTTATAGGGTAAAGAAAAATTGAAATTATTTAATTTAATTTTTACTCTTTAAATCTCCTTTTCAAGGTGATGCAGAGTAAAAGGAGAAAACTAAACAAGACTTATTATGTTAAACAAAGATCCTGGCACAGCATTTGCCAAATTTCAGGCAATTTCAGAGCAATAAAGAGATAATTGAATAATTAAATTGGTAAAAGAAGAAAAACTCAAAATTCAAGTTGTTTCTACATGAGTTTGTTTCACCTATCATACCCTCTTATTCTCACAGAAGTTTAACATAATTATACATTTTAAATATTGTTGAAAATCAAATTACAGAAACAAAGACACACTTAAAGGCAAAAATAGAGACAGAAACAAAAAAGAAACTTCTAGAGAAAAATCATCTGCTAGAAACCCTTTGGAAATAACAAATTAGCAAGTGGCAGAATGAGAAGAATGATGCTGAGAACTTCGAGCTTTTCAATGATATCAAGAAAGTTTCCATAAGAACTAGCTATGCCAGAATTTTAAAAATGCTTAGTCTGTTCTTCTAATTTATAAATAGTACTTAGGAAATATACTGCTTTACTTTTTTTCTATTTATATTCAAGAAATAACATTAACATGGTAAAAAAAAAATTAAGTAACATAAATGTGAAAGTCAGTCTCCTACTCACTCAGGTGCCCTCCCCCAAAACTTTCTCCCAAGAAAAGAAAAATTTAGCCAATAAAGTTTCCAAACTGATAAAATAATGAATAACTTTTAAAAAATGTAAGTAGTCTGTATATATCATGCAGCCCACTGCTTTTTAAAAAAATTTTATTCTTAATTTTTATGAATACATAGTGGGTGTATATATTTATAGGGAACATGAAATATTTTATGCAGGCATGTAGTGTGTAACAATCACATCAGAGTAAATGGGATTTCCATCGCCTCAAACATTTATCTTGTTTTATGTTACAAACATTCCAATCACACTGTTATATATATATTTTTATATTATTCTATATTCCATGTATATAAATACATGATTCTATGGGTTTCTCAAAACCCATAGAACAGTACACTACAACCAATGCAGTTTTTAAACTTCATTGATTTTAGCTTCAGCGGTACATGTGCAGGTTTGTTATATAGGTAAATTGCATGTCACAGGGGTTTGGTGTACAGATTATTTCATCAACTAGGTAATAAGCATAGTACCCAATAGGTATTTTTTTAATCCTCTTCCTCCTCCTACTGTCCACCCTCAAGAAGGCCCAAGTGTTTGTAGTTTCCTTTTTTGTGTCCATGTATTCTTTGTCTTTAGCTCCCATTAATAAGCGAGAATATGTGGTATTTGGTTTTCCGTTCCTTTGTTATTTCACTTAAGATAATGGCCTGCAGTTCCATCCATGTTGATACAAAAGAGATAACCTTGTTCTTTTATATGGCTGCACAGTATTCTGTGATATATATGTACCACAGTTTAGGTTGATTCTATGTCTTGGCTATTGTGAATAGTGCTTCAATGAACATATGCATGCATTTTTTTATAGTTGAATAATTATATTCCTTTGAATATGTACCCAGCAATGGCATTGTTGGGCTGAATGCTAATACTGATATAAGTTCCTTGAGAAAGCACCACACTGCTTCCCACAGTGGCTGAACTAATTTATATTCTCACCAGCAGTGTATAACCATTTCTTTTTCTCTGCAACCTTACTAGCATCTGTTATTTTTTGACTTTTTAATAATAGCTATTCTGACTGATGTGAGATGGTATCTTGTTGTTTTGATTTACATTTCTCTAATGATTAGTGATGTTGAACACTTTTCCATACGCTTCTTGGCCACGTGTATGTCTTCTTTTGAGAAGTGACTGCTCACAACCTTTGCCCACTTTTTAATGGGATTGTTTGCTTTTTGCTTGTTAATTTGTTTAAGTGACGTATAGATTCTTGATATTAGACCTTTGTCAAATGCATGGTTTGCAAATATTTTCTCCCATTCTGTAGGTTGTCTGCTTACTCTGTTGATAGTTTATTTCACTGTGCAGAAACTTTTTAGTTCAATTAGGTCCCTTTTGTCAATTTTTGTTTTTGTTATGATTGCTTTTGGAGATTTTATCATAAAATTGTTGCCAAGGCCTATGCCCAGAATGGTATTTCCTAGGTTATTTTCCAGAGTTTTTATAGTTTTAGGTTTTACATTTAATACTTTAATCCATCTTGACTTGATTTTTGTATATGGTGTAAGGAAAAGGTTTAGTTTCTATCTTCCGCATATGGCTAGCCAGTTATCTCAGCACCATTTATTTAACAGGTAGCCCTTTCCCCATTGCTTGTTTTGGGTCAACTTTTCAAAGATCAGATGGTTGTAGGTTGCAGCATTATGTATGGGCTCTCCATTATGTTCCATTCATCTATGTGTCTGATTTGTACCAGTACCATGCTATTTTAGTTACTGTAGCCTTTTAGTATAGTTTGAAGTTGAGCAAGATGATGCCTCCAGCTTTGATCTTTTTGCTTAGAAGTGCTTTGGCTATTTGGGCTCTTTTTTGGTTCCATATGAATTTTTACATAGATTTTTAAAATAATTCTGTGGAGAAAGTCATTGTTAATTTAACGTGAGTAGCTTTGAATCTATATATTGTTAAATGGCCAACTGTAATCAATCTTTTGTGTTTTTTTTTAATCTCAATTTCACTTATTTCTGCTCTGATCTTTATTTTTTTTTCTACTTATTTTGAGTTTGGTTTTCTTTTACTTTTCTAGTTATTTGAGATGCATCCCAATGTTGTTTATTTGAATCTTTTCTACTTTTTGATGTAGGAAATTATTGCTGTAAACTTTTCTCTTGTTGCTGCTTTTGCCGTATCCAATAGGTTCTGGTACATGGCATTTCCATTTTCATTTGTTTTAATAAATGTTTTAGTTTCCCTCTTAATCTATTTATAAACCTACTGGTCATTCTGGAACGTACGGTTTCATTTCCATGTCTTTTTAGTTTCCAAAATTCTTACTGTTATTTCTAGTTTTATTTCGTTGCAGTCAGACAAGATACTTGATATAATTTCATTTTTTAAAAATTTTGTAAAACCTGTTTTGTAGCCTAACATATTATTTTTCCTTGAGAATGATCCATGTGCTGAGAAGAATGCGTATTCTGCAACCATTTGATAAAATGTTTTTATATATCTATTAGATCCATTTGGTTTATAGTGCATATTAAGTTAGATGTTTCTTGATTTTCTGTCTGGATGATCTGTCCAATGCTGAGAGTAGGGTGTTAAGTCTCTAGCTTTTATTGTATTTGGGCCTATTTCTCTCTTTAGCTCTAATAATATTTGTTGTATATATCTGGGTACTCCAGCATTGGGTGCATATATATTTATAATTGTTATATCCTTTTGTGGAATGAAAACCTTTATTATTGTATAATGATCTTTTTTTTATACTTTTGAAATCTATTTTATCTGATATAAATACAGCTATTTTTGCTCTTTTTTGGTTTCCATTTGCATGGAATATCTTTTTCCATCCCTTTATTTTCAGTCTGTGTGTCTTTATAGATGAATTGTGTTCCTTGTGGACAACAGATCATTGGGTCTTGGTTTTTATTTTAATCCCTTCAGTCATTTTATATTTTTTGATTTAGAGAGTTTAGTCCATTTACAGTCAGTGGTATTATTGACAAGAATTGACAGGAATAGGAACTTATTTCTGCCATTTTAAAATTTGCTTCCTGGTTGTTTTGTCATCTTAGTTTTCTTCTTTCCTTCCTTCCTGTCTTCCTTTGTGTGAAGATGATTTTCTCATATAGTATATTTTAATTTCTTGCTTTTTATTTTTTCTTTATCTGCTGGAGGTTTTTTAATGTGAAGTTGCCATGAAGGTTGCAAATAACATCTTATAATACATTTTTTAAATTGATGACAATTTAACATTGATTTCATAAAGAAGCAAACTACCAAACAAGCAAATAGAAAACTAATAAAAACTCTACACTTTAACTTCATCCCCTCAACTTTTAACTTGTTGTTTCTCTTTATATCTTATTATACTGTCTATGTCTGGAAAAGTTGTCATACTTATTATTTTTGATAGGTTCATGTTTTAGTCTTCCTGCAAGAGATGAGAACTTTACACACCACAATTACAGTATTATAATATTCTGAGTTTTTCTATATACCTGATATTACCAGTGAGTTATGTACCTTCAGATGATTTCTTATTGCTCACTACCATATTTTTCTTTCAGACTGAAGAACTCCCTTTAGAATTTCATGTAGAACAGGTTTGGTGTTAACTAAATTCTTAAGCATTTATTTGTCTGGAAACATCTGTTTTTTCTTTGTGTTTGGAGTATATTTTCAACAGATATACTATTCTAGGATAAAAGTTTTGCTCCTCCAGAAATTGAAATATGTCATGCCACTCTCCTGGCCTGTAAAGTTTCCACTGAGAAGTTTGTTGCCAGATATATTGGAGTTCCTTTGTATGTTACATGTTTCTTTCTATTGCTGCTTTTAGAACACTTTCTTTACCCTTGATCTTTAGGAGTTTGATTATTAAATGTCCTGAGGCAGTCTTATCTGTGTTATATCTGCTTGGTGTTCTATAAGCTTCTTGTAATTGAATATTGATATCTTTTTCTAGGTTTGGAAAGTTCTCTATTATCCCTTGGAATGAACTTTCTACCACAATGTTTCTCTCTCTGTGTCTCTCTCTCTCTCTTTTTCCCTGTCTCCTCCTTAAAGACAATGACTCATATTTGCCCTTTTAAGGGTATTTTCTCGATCTTGTAGGAATGCTTTATTATTTTGTATTCCTTTTGTTTATTTGTTTCCTCTGACTGTGTATTTTCAAATAACCTGTCTTCAAGCTCACTAATTTTTTCTTCTGCTTGATCTATTCCGCTGTTAGGATACTCCAATGCTTTCTTCAGTATGTCAATTGCATCTTTCAGCTCCAGAATTTCTGCTTGGTTATTTTATATTATTTCAATCTCTTTCTTAATTTTTTGATAGAATCTAAATTTCTTCTTCTTGTTATCTTGGATTTTGTTTATCTTCCTCAAAACATCTACTTTGAAGGCTTTGTCTGAAAGGTCATATATCTCTGTCTCTCTAAGATTGGTCACTGGTGCCTTATTTAGTTTGTTTGATGAGATCATATTTTCCTGGATAATCTTGATGCTTTTGGTTGTTCACCAGTGTCTGGACATTGAAGATTTGGGTATTTATTATAGTTTTCTCAATCTAGGCTTGTTTGTAACTGTCCTTCTTGGGAAGGCTTTCCAGGTATTCAAAAGGGACTTGGGTGTTGTGATCTAAGTCTTTGGTCACTCCAGCCACATCTGTTTTAGTGGACATCTCAAGCCCAGTAATGCTGTGGCTCTTGCAGACTCATACAGGTACTGCCTTTATGGTCTTGGGTAATATATTGGAAAATTCCCTGGATTACTTGGCAGAGACTCTTGTTCTCTTTCTTTACTTTCCCCAAAGCAAAGTTTCTGTCTCTGTGCTGATCTGGAGCTGGGGGAGAGATGATACAAGCACCCCTATAGCTACCACCACTGAGACTGCACTGAGTCATACCCAAAGACAGCACACCACTGGCCCTCACTCAAGGCCCACGGCGACCACTGCTTGGCTACCACCTATGTTCACTCAAGGCCCAAAGACTTTACATTCAGAAGGTGGTAAATCCAGGCACGCTTGTGTCCTTCCCTTCCAGGCAATGTGCTCTCTTTAGCCCGTGGTGGGTCTGGGGAATCTCCTCTGGGAGGTAGGGCCTGGAGGTAGGAACCTTAGGAATCTACCTAGTGCTCTATTTGCTGCAGCTCAGCTGGCATCCAAGCCACAAGACAAAGTCCTTCTCACTCCTCTCTCCCCTTTCCTCAAGCAGAGGAGTGCCTCCTCATGACCACCACCACCCTTTACCCGAGGCAAGTATTGCCTGGCAACTCTCCATGTTTACTCAAGCCCAAGGGCTCTTCAGTGTGCTTGTGGTGAATGCCACCAGCCACGAGTCTCTCCCTTCAGGACTTTAGGCTCCTCTCTGCCCTAGTGCAAGTTCAAAAATGCCATTTAGGAGCCAATAACTGGAACCAGGGACCCAAAGAACCCACTCCGGGCTCTACCCCACTGTGGCCAACCTGGTACCCAAGCTATAAGACAAAGTCTTCTTTACTCTCTGTCTCCTTTTCTCAAGCAGAAGGGATCTCTCCCTATAGCTACCACAGCTGGTAATGTACTGGGTCACACTTGAAGCCAGCATGGCTATAAGTCTCACTCAAGATCTGTGGCAAGTACTGCCTGGCTATCCCACTGCTGATTATACAGGCCCAAGGTCTCTTTCTTCAGGCAGAAGATGATGAATTCTGCCAGGACTAGGTCCCTCCCCTCAACGCAGTTGGTTCCCTCTGGTCTAGGTTGTGTTTTAAATGTTTTCCAGAAGCTAGGGCCTGGAATGGAAGCCTCAGGACTCTACCTGGTGCCATATTCTACTGTGGCTGAGCTGGTATCCAAGTTGCAAGCAAAAATCCTCTCTACTCTCCTCTCTCCTCTCCTTAAGCAGAGGAGAGTCTGTCTTAGAACTGTAAGCTGCACTTCCTGGAGTTGGGGGAGGGCTAACACAAGCACTCCCTTAGTTGCTCCAGATGGTATCTCCCTAGGTCACATGCACTCCAAGTCCACCGGTTCTGAGCCCAGCTCTGCACTAGGACTTGTCAAGGAATTGCAATCCTTGTGGCGTAGGCTACCTTTCAAGTTTCTTTAGGATTCCAGAGCACTTCAGCCTGTGGTGGCGGGGCTTGCCACAACTCAGGTCTGACAACTAGGATGGACAATCTGCTTCTGGCTAGGGCTGGCCTAAATGCCCCCTCCATGGGCATCGGCTGAGCTCCTGTTGCTTTCCACTGTGACAGGACACCTTTGAGTTCCAATGCAAGATTCCACATCACTGCACTCTCCCTCCCCTAAGCATACAAATTCTTTCTTTGTGCCAAGTTGCTTTGCTGGGGGATAGAGGAGGAGTAGTATAGATGATTCAAGACTGCTTTTCCTATCCTTTTCAGTTCTCTTTCTTTAACATGATGTTAAAATCAGGTACTGTGATCACCCCTCACTCACCTAAATTTTGGTTCTAATGAAAGTGCTTTTTTTGTGGATAATTTTTCAGTGTTCCTGCTGGGAGGACAATTGCTAGAGTCTTCTATTTGGCCACTGTGCTCTACCTCCCCTATCATTTTTTTTTTTTTAACTTTCACGTATTGATTGAGCTGCATTTTATTTTTCAATAAACACTGGGATCAATTTTTTTTCAGTTTTTCCCCCGAAAAACTAATCAATCATCCCCAAACCAATACCATATATTAAGTAAACTTTATGGAATTACCTGAATAATCTATCTTCTTTTCACTAATTTTTTATTAATATTACCAATGTATATTTGTAATATTATACATTTATATATAATGTATAATATATACTTATATCTATTTGATATATATAGGTAATATATAAAATGAATTATATATATATATAGAGAGAGAGAGAGGGCACCTATATGTGTCAGGCACTGTGATAAATCACTGGTGAACACAGACAGTATCCTTTCCTTCAAAGAATTTAAATTTTAATGGGATACATATTTTTTAAAGTAAACATATAATACATAAAACACTGTACTATGTAATTTATAATAATAACTAACATTTATTGAACGCTTACTATATACCTGACTCTGTTCCAAGGGTCATCAATCTATTGCCTGTGGCAATAGTAAGCATTCTGTTTTCACATAGACAATAAATCCAGTAAGCATTCTGTTTTCACATAGACAATAAGCTAAAACTAAATCTACATTTTTAAGGGATTGTGGGAAAAAGGAAAGAAAGAATGAATAATATGAGAGACAAATTATACATGACTCACAAATCCTGAAATATTATCTCTGTGGCCTGTTATAAAAGAAGTTTATTGACCCCTGTTTAAACCTTCTAAATGTACTCATTTAATTTTCACAGTAAGCATTAAAGTGGTTAATATTATTACATAATATGTAAGCTCTACTATTCTTCCAGATGAGAAAACTAAAGCAAAAAGAGTTTCCTATAATTATCACAGAGGAAGTAAACAGGCTACTGAACTTCTAAATGAGGATCAGGAATGAGGAGGGTTAAGACAAAAAAGGAAGAGTTTTCTGGAAAAACTATTCAGATTTACTTTTTTGAAAGTTGAGATTACAGTCAGATGTGGTGGCTCACGCCCGCAATCCCAGCACTTTGGGAGGCCAAGGGGGGCAGATCACGAGGTCAGGAGATCGAGACCATCCTGCCAACATGGTGAAACCCCATCTCTATTAAAAATACAAAAATCAGCTGGGTGTGGTGGCACGCACCTGTAGTCCCAGCTACTCTGGAGGCTGAGGCAGGAGAATCGCTTGAACCCAGGAGGCAGAGGTTACAGTGAGCTGAGATCACACCACTGAACTCCAGCCTGGGCAAAAGAGTGGAACTCCATCTCACAAAAAAAAAAAAAAAAAAATTGAGATTACCTGTGAATTGAAAGAACAGGGCTCTATGCCCTATTGTTGAGAAGCTCAAACATACAGTATTTGGATACATACATAGGAACCAGGTAAAAAGATGAGAAGCAGCAGACATAAGAATAGAAGGAAACAGAAATAAACAGAAGCCAAGAGAAGAGAGTGTTTTGAGGAGGGCAGAAAACATTTCGTATTGTTGTGCAAGACCAGAAATAAGAGCCAGTAGGCGGCTTGAGGTTCTAGCCTAAAGGACAGGGCATAACTGATCAGGGCCAGCTACCTTTATGTCTTATTCTATTATGCCTTCAGTTAACATAAAGGGGGTAGCAGGATGACCAAGTCCTAATAAGGAGCCACTCATACGACCTTTTTTTCTCTCTAGAGAAAAGGTACCATAAGTAATACTACTTTCTGAATTGAGAAACACGAAAAAAAATTAATAAATTATAACACAAAACAAATAAAAAGCAAAGCTCTTATGTAAGATTTTACCCAATAGTAACAGGTTTCTGTGAAAGATTTTGGAACATGACTCCTCATTACCTTCCTCTTCCTCTCCAATATTAACTTCAATTTACCTTCACTTTCTGAATTAAACAGCTCCTTTTAGTTTACAGGCGGCTGGGTGCCAGTGAGACTGGGGTCTTGGTTAGGGTCCTGGTAGAGAGAACTGGTATAAAGGATTTCTCTGAGATAAGCAGGGGAGCCAGCAGAGAAATGTTCAGACCAATGTCTGGAATCCTGAGAAAAGATCAACATCAGGTTTCCATACATGTGCTGGTTCTCCTTAGCCCCCAAGAGACCAAAACAAACAAACAAAAAGACAAACAGATAGACTGAGACATCCTTGGCTCTAAAACTGGGAGATTTACTGGCTGCTTCTGAATATGCCATCAAAGGAGTGGAAACCTACCTACTTTAATATCATTGACACACAGGATAGACACAAGTGCTTCATCTTTCATCTCCTGTTAAGACAAAAGTAATTTAGCATTCCCTAACATGAAACCTTAGCTCTAGAGAGCAGAAAACAAAAATACCTAAACATTACATAGGGTCCCAAAAGCCAGAGAAAGGAAGGGCAGTAAGAATAAACAGAAAATACCAGCAAAACAGATCTGCTGGAGGAGACACATGACAGTGTGATTTAAGATAATGAGAACATTAGCAGAAGTCCAGGCTTACTATATACACACCAAAGACTTTCTGGAGAAAAACAAGCAAACAAAATGCTTTTCTAAATCAATAATTCAATAGGTAAAAATGAAAGAAAACCTGGCCTGTAATGTCATCCTTTATAAATCCCTACCCATTATTCTTGTATTCTAATTGGAATCTGAAACATTTGCACATTTCCCCTTTATGTTCTTATGAATCCAAGAACAATGAGATGATGACTTTGATTCACATGCAAAAAGTGTTTTAAATTATTATTCCAAGCAATCATTGTTTTCAAAAATCTTTCTCTAGAGGAGGCTGAAAAGCCTCACTTAGTCCCTGAATACTTATATTTCATTGTAAGAGCATCCTGTATTGAAGTCACAACTGATCGAGTAGGGTATTTATAAAGGACGACATCACAGTCATACATTGCTTGACAATGAGGATATGTTCTAAGAAATTTGTCATTAGGCAATTTTGTCATCATGTGAACATCACAGAGTGTATTTACACAAACCTAGATGGTATAGCCTCCTACACATCTAGGCTATGTGAGATAGCCTATTGCTCCTAGACTGCAAACCTATGCAACATGTTACTGAATACTGTAGGCAACTGCAACATAATGCTAAGTATTTGTGTATCTAAAAATATCTACATATAGAAAATGAATAGTAAAAATACAGTATAAATACAGTAAACACGATAAACCTGTAGAGGACATTTAGCATGAACAGAGCTTGGTGGACTGGAAGTTGTTCTGGGGGAAGCCAGTAAGTTGTGAGTAAATGGGAAGGCCTGGAACATTACTGTGCCCTTTATGCTACTGGCAGCAGAGTAAGTTTGTTTCTACCAGCATCACCACCAACACTCCAGTAACATATTACCCTATGATGTTACAACAGCTGCTATGTTACTAGGAGATAAAAATTTTTCAGTTGGATTATAATCTCCTATGGCCAACATCATAAATGTGGTCCATCACTGACTGAAACTTTGTTATGCAATATATGTCTGGAATGTGTTTCTTAAATATATATGTATATTTCATCTGAACTGAGAAGCCTAGAATGAACACTTCTTTTCATGAATGAGGACTATTGTCAACTAAGTGTAATAATCAGAGCATTATTCTCAATATTATTTGTTGTTATGTCATTATTGGATCTATTTGACACCTTATAGCAGAAATAATTAAATCTTCGTTACTCCTTAATGAGCTCTGAATTTTCTCTCTCTTTTGAATGTGGAATGTGGATTGGAGTACAAAAGAATATGAGTATGAGAGGAGAGCGCCAACCAGAAATGATGTAGGAATTCTCAGAAACAAACATCAGAAAAAATGCCCTGTTTACAAACTTAAAAGATGCAAATTGAAAGGGTTTTACATCTAAGAACCCAAGAAGTAGACAAAAGTTTCAACCGACAGACAAAACCTGACAGAACTATCAGTTGCATTCTCATGGCACTTCTGTTAACTTTTTGAAGGGTAGTGTTATTTCTAGTTTCAGCATTAACAAGAAGAGAATAAATACTAATATTACATAGATATAATAATTATAATTTAAATTTTCTGCCATCTGGATGTAAAATTTGGCATTCTTGGGATGGTTTTAATTTAAAAATGTTTAACATGGCTAATGGCAATTCCCTTATGATAGGTTGAATTATTAAAAAAAAAATCCAACTACTAGATATGTATAGGAAGTACATTTAAATGAAGTTAAAAGTGGAAAAAAATTGCTGTACAAATATCTAACAGGAAAAGAAAATAGGTGAGTCATATTAATATTAGATAAAATGGTATTCAAAGCCAAAGAATAAAAATGAAGACAAAGACAATATCTTTAAAATGTAATCTTTCCTAAAATAATGTGTGGATCTAATTTTATTCTAATTAGAAATAAAATTTTGGCATACTTGCTGTTACCAGTATTAATAATATTTTTAAAATAATATGGAAAATTGAATGAGCAAAAATTACCAAAAAAATGGAAATAAGAATCATAAAAGATGGCTTGCTGTACAAGATTATTGAAATTTAATATAAAGTTACCATAACAAAAATGTAAACACAGTTTGGCAAATAGGTCAATGAAATAAACCAAAATCCAGAAATAAATCAAGTATATGTAGAAAACATATGGCAAAAGTGTCATTCTAATTTGGAGAAAAATAGATTATTTAATGAACGGTACTGGCATAATTAGCTGTTTCTCTAAAATAAACAAAAATTAAGACACTGCTTCATATTACATAAAATTAATTTCTAGATACATTAAAATCTAAATATAAAATAATTAAAAATATTAAAATAATGTGTAAAAGAACATTTGCAAGCCTTCAGATGAAGTCTTTTAGCAAGATACTAAATCTGAAAGGAAAGACTGATAGATTTAACAACGCAAATATCTTGAGTTATAGTTTTACACCATAAGCAGAGTCCAGAGAAAAATACAGAACAATAATTTTTGCAGCATACATGATTAATTTTCTAAGTGCTTATAAAATATAAAAATAATCTGACAGAAAAATAGATAAGAGAAAATGCAAATCACCAAAAACTTGAGAAAACGTGCTCAACTTCATTACTAGTTAATAAAATGCAAATAAAACAGCAGAGATGTCACTTTATATTCATTTGTGGAAAAACAATTCTTTTTAAAATATTAACATCCAAATTGCTCAGCTTGTGCAGAAATGTTGGCTGGCTAATGGAATTAAAATCTTCAGGAATATCAAAAAACATCTTAGGAACTGTTCAAAAATGAAGTAAAAAAGACTGATAACTAAATTCAGAGTAGGAGTCTGAACTGGATTGTTTTGCTGTGAAGAACATTATTGTAACATCTGGCAAAATTTGAGTCAGGATTGAATAGTATGAATCAGTGTTAATATAACCAATAATTATATTTTAGTTATGTAAGGAGAATGACCCTCTTTGTAGGAAATATAAGGTTAAGTATTTGGGAATATACAGACATGATTTCAGCAACTTAGCCTAAGCAATTTGTATTTTCAACCTTTTTCTAAATTTCAATTTTTTTTTCTCTCTCTCTCTCACTCACCCGTCTCTAGCACAGCAAATAAACTTTTAGAAATCTATCCTATAGAAGTGGAATTGACAAAGTTATTTATTTCTCGTGGAGATGTTAAAAATCTACACAAAAATTGACTGAAGATGGATTAAAGACTTAAATGTAAGACCTAAAATCACAAAATCACTAGAAGAAAACCTAGGCAGTACCACTCAGGACATAGGCATGGGCAAGGACTTCATGACTAAAACACCAAAAGCAATGGCAACAAAAGCCAAAATAGACAAATGGGATCTAATTAAACTAAAGAGCTTCTGCACTGCAAAAGAAACTATCTTCAGAGTGAACAGGCAACCTACAGAATGGGAGAAAATTTTTGCAATCAATCCGTCCGACAAAGGACTAATATCCAGAATCTACAAAGAACTTAAACAAATTTACAAGAAGAAAACAAACAGCCCCATCAAAAAATGGGCAAAGGATATGAACAGACATTTCTTAAAAGAAGACATTTATGCAACCAACAGACTTATGAAAAATGCTCATCATCACTGGTCATTAGAGAAATGCAAATCAAAACCACAATGAGATACCATCTCACACCAGTTAGAATGGCGATCATTAAAAAGTCAGGCAGCAACAGATGCTGGAGAGGATGTGGAGAAATAGGAATGCTTTTACACTGTTGGTAGGAGTGTAAATTAGTTCAACCATTGTGGAAGACAGTGTGGTGATTCCTCAAGGATCTAGAACTAGAAATACTATTTGAACCAGTGATCCCATTACTGGTTATATACCCAAAGTATTATAAATCATGCTACTATAAAGACACATGCACACATATGTTTATTGTGGCACTATTCACAATAGCAAAGACTTGGAACCAATCAAAATGCCCATCAATTATAGACTGGATAAAGAAAAGGTGGCACATATACACCATGGAATACTATGCAGCCATAAAAATGGATGAGTTCATGTCCTTTGCAGCGACATGGATGAGGCTGGAAACCATCACTCTCAATAAACTATCACAAGGACAGAAAACCAAACACCACATGTTCTCACTCATAAGTGGGAGGTGAACAATGAGAACACATGGAGATAAGGAGGGGAACATCCCACACCAGGGCCTGTTGGGAGCTGGGGGGCTGGGGGACAGATAGCGTTAGGAGAAATACCTAATGTAAATGACGAGTTGATTGGTGCAGCAAACCAACATGGCACATGTATACCTATGTAACAAACCTGCACGTTGTGCACATGTACCCTAGAACCTAAAGTATTATAATAATTTTTAAAAATCTAGACATCTTTCAATAAGTTAAGAATTAATTAAATTATTATACATCTATATTATAGAATGCTTTGTAGCTATGAGAATGAATTAAAGCTACATGTGTTTAATTTCCACATCTGACCATGAAGGACTTAGGGAGACCAATGCAAAGAAATCTGTAGAGTATTGCTAGAGTCCAGGTGAGTACCTTGTCCTACCTAGAGAATGATTGCACAGGTAAAGAGAAAGATGCTAAAAACTTATAGGAGGTGGAGCAAGATGGCTGAATAGAACCTTCCAGTGATCATTCCCCTCCTCCAGCTGGAGCACAAAATTAAACAATCATCCACACAAGAGAGTACTTTCATAAGAACCAAAACTCAGGTGAGTGGTCACAGTACCTAGCTTTAATATCATATCAAGGAAATAGGCCCTAAAAAGGGATCAAGGACAGTCTTGAACTGCCAACCTCCAACTCCCCACAGAGCAGCTTGGCATAAAGAGAGATCTGTGTGCTTGGAGGAGGAAAAGTGCAGCGGTTGTGGGATTTTCCTTGGGAACTCAGTGCTACCTTGTCACAGCGGAAAGCAACACAATGCAGAATTCAGCTGGTGCCCATGGAGGGAGCACTTAAATCAGCCCTGGCCAGAGGGGAATTGTCCATCCTGTTAGTAAGAAGTTGAGTTCTGGCTAACCCGACCACTATGGGCTAAAGTACTCTGAAGTCCTAAGTAAACTTGAAAGGTAGTGTAGATCACGAAGACTGAAATTCCGAGGCATGTCCTGTCGCTGAACTGAGCTTAGAAAGAGTGGACTTGAGGTGCATGCAAACTAGTGAGACACCAGCTGAGATGACCAAGGGAGTAATTGTGTCACCCCTATCCAAACTTCAGGCAGCACAGCTCACAGCTCTGTGAGGAGAGAAAAGAGTAAAGAGGATTTTTATCTTGGAGCTTTCATACTGGTTCAGCCACAGTATAACAAAACAGCAAGCAGGGCCCTGAAGACCCCATTCCAGGCTATAGCTCTCAGAAAACATTTCTAGACCCACCCTGGGCCAGAAGGGAACCCACATCCTAAAGGCAAAAAAAAAAAAAGAAAAAAAAACCCAGTCTTGGCAGAATTCACCACCTGGTATGAAAGAGCCCTTGGGCCTTGAATAAACATCAGTGATAGGCAACAGTAACTATGGGCCTTGGACAAGACCCAGTATTGGGCTGGCTTCAGGTATAACCTCACACATTTCCAACTGTGGTGGCCACAGGAAGGGACCCTTTCTGCTTAAGAAAAAGGGCAGGAAAAGTACGAAGAACTTTTTCTTAAAATTACGGTTCCAGCTAAGCCACAGTAAAATAAGACAAACGGGAGATTCCTAAAGTCCCTGATGCCAGGCCTTTGCTACTGGAAGGACTTTCTAGACCTGCCGGAAGCCATAAGGGAACACGCTGCCGCAGGCCTTGGGTGAAACACAATATTGTGCTGGCTTCAGGTGTGACCCAGCACAGTCCCAGAGGTGGTGGCCATAGGAGAGCTTGTGTCACCCCTACCCCAACTCCAGGCATCACAGCACAGAGGGAGAGACTCCATTTGTTGAGGGCGGGAGGTTGGGGGGATAAGGGAAGAAAACAAGAGATTCTTCCTGGTAATCTGGGGTGTTCACCTGTATCTTAACCAAAAATACCAAAGAAGTACTTCTAGAACTCCAAAAAAGTTACAGCATTACTGGGCTTGGGATGCCCTCTAATGCATATGCCCCTTAATGCTGCAGTGACCAAAGACTTAGATCACAACACTCAATTCCCTTCGAATACTTGGAAAGCTTTCTCGAGAAGGATGTGTACAAATAAGCCCAGACTCCAAAGATTAGAATAAATACCAAACTTTTCATTAACTAGAAATTAATTAACAACCACAATCACGTAGACCATTCAAAAAAAAAAAAAAAAAAAAAAAAAAAAAAATATATATATATATATATATATATATATATGACATCACCAGATGAAACAAATAGGCACTGTGACCAGTTCTGAAATTATAGAGATATGTGGCCTTTAAGACAGATAATTCAAAATAGCTGTTTTTAGAAAGATAACAAAATCCAAGATAGCACAAAGAAAAAATTCAGAATCCCATCAGATAAACTTAACAAAGAGATTGAAATAATTTAAAAGAATATAGCAGAAATTCTCTAGCTGAAAACTGCATTTGACAAACTTAAGAACGCATCAGAGTCTCTCAATAGCAGAACTGATCAAGCAAAGAAAAAATTAGTGAGTTTAAAGACAGGCTATTTGAAAATACACAGTCAAGGAGACAAAAGAAAACAAGTATTTAAAGTATCCCTACAGGATCTAGAAAATAGCCTAAAAAGGACAAATCTAAGAGTTATTGCCTTAAACAGGAGACAGAGAGAGATTGGGGTAGAAAATTTCGTTAAAAGGATAATAACTAAGAACTTTCCAAACCTAGAGAAATACATCAATATTCCAGTACAAGAAGGTTATAGAACACCAAGCAGATATAGCACAAATAAGATTACCTCAAGACATTTAAAATCAAATGTCCAAAGGTCAAGGATAAAGAAAGTATCCTAAAAACAGTAAGAGAAAAGAAACAAATAACATATAAATAAGTTCTAATATATCTGGCAGCAAATTTCTCAGTGGAAACTTTACACACCATGAAAGAGTGGCATGATATATTTAATGTGCTGAAGAAAAACACTCTGATCCTAGAATATTATATCTAGCAAAAATATTATTTAAACATGAAGGAGAAATAAAGATTTTACCAGACAAACAAAACAAGGATTTCATTAATACCAGACTTGTCCTACAGGAAATGCTAAAGAGTTCTTCAATATGAAAGAAAAGGACATTAATGAACAATAAGAAATAATTTGAAGGTACAAAACTCACTGGTAATAGTAAGTACACAGACAAACACAGAAAATTAGAATGTTTTAATTGCAGTGTGTAAACTACTCATATATTGAGTAGGACAACTAAAAGACTAATCTACCAAAAATAATAATTACAAAAATGTGTAACACATAGACAGTATAATAAAAATAGAAAGAACAAAGAGATAAAAATGGGGGTGAGAATGAAATTAAAGTATAGAGATTTTAATAGTTTTCTCTCTGGTTGTTTGTTTGTTTCCTTCTGCAATCAGTATTAAGTTGTCATCAGTTCAAAATAATGGATTATAAGATGTTATTTGCAAGCCTCATGGTAACCTCAAATTAAAAATCCTACAAAAGATTTGAAAAAGATAAAGCAATATATTAAAATATAGCACCACAGAAAATCGCTTTCACAAAAAGGAAGACAGGGAAGAAGGAAGGAAGAAAGAGAAGACAACAAAATGACAGAAAACAGATAATAAAATGGCAGGAGCAAGTTCTTATTTGTCAATAATAACATTGAATGTAAATGGACTAAGCTCTCCAATCAAAAGGCATAGAGTGGGTGAATGGATAAAAAATAAGGCCCAGCAATTTGTTACCTACAAGAAATGCTCTTTACCTATAAAGATACACATAGACTGAAAATTAAGGAGGGAGAAGATATTCCATACAAATGGAAACCAAAAAAGAGCAGGAATAGCTATACTATATCAGGTAAAATAGATTTCAAGACACAAACTATAAAAGGAGACATACAAAATTATTATATAGTGATAAAGAGGTCAAGTCATCAAGAGGATATAGCAATTGTAAATATATATGGTCTTTGCACTGCAGCACCTATTATACAAAGCATATATTATTAGAGCTAAAGAGAGAGATAGACTCAATACAATAATATCTAGAAGCTTCAACATACTACTTTCAGCATTGGACAGATCATCAGACAGAAAAACATCAAATAAACAGAAGACCTAATCTGCACTATGGACCAAATAGACGCAATAGACATTTTCAGAAAATGTCATCCAATGGCTACAGAATATAGTCTTCTTTTCAACATGTGAACTATTCAAGGATAGACCATATGTCAGGCCACAAAACAAGTCTTAAAACACTCAAAATGAAATTGTATCAAGTATTTTCTCTAACCATAATGGAATAAAACTAGAAAAAAATAACTAGAAGAACTTTGGAAACTATGCAAACAGAAGCAAATTAAATAATATGCTCCTCATCCAGGTGTGGTGGCTCATGCCTGTAATCCCAGCAGTTTGGGAGGCTAAGGCGGGCGATCACCCAAGGTCGGGAGTTTGAGACCAGCCTGACCAACATGGCGAAAACCCGTCTCTACTAAAAATACAAAATCAGCTGTGCGTGGTCGCTCATGCCTGCAATCCCAGCTACTTGGGAGGCTAAGGCAGAGAATCACTTGAATCCGGGAGTCAGAGGTTCCAGTGAGCCGAGATTGCACCATTACACTCCAGCCTGGGCAACAAGAGTGAAACTCCGTCTCAAAAATAAATAAATAAAATAATAATAATAATAATAATAATAATAATAATAAGCTCCTGAATTACCAGTGGGTTGATAAAGAAATTAAGGGAGAAACTATAAAATTCCTAGAAACAAATGAAAATGGAAACATAACATACTAAAACCCATGGGATACAGCAAAAGAAGTACTAAGAGGAAATTTCATAGCAATAAGTGCCTACATCAAAATGTAGAAAAACTTCAAGCAACCTAATTATGCAGCTGAAATAGAAAAGCAAGAATAAACCAAACCCAACATGAGTATAACAAAAACTAAATATCAGCAGAAATACGTGAAATTGAAAAAAAAAAAAACACAAAAGACCAACAAAATGAAAAGTTTTCTTTTTTTTTTTTTTTTTTTTTTTTTTTTTTGAGATGGAGTCTTGCTTTGTAGCCCAGGCTGGAGTGCAGTGGTGTGATCTTGGCTCACTGCAAGCTCCACCTCCCGAGTTCACGACATTCTCCTGTCTCAGCTTCCGGAGCAGCTGGGACCACAGGCGCCCGTCACCACGTCCAGCTAATTTTTTGTATTTTTAATAGAGACGGGGTTTCTCCATGTTAGCCAGGATGGTCTCGATCTCCTGACCTCGTGATCCGCCCACCTTGGCCTCCCAAAGTGCTGGGATTACAGGTGTGAGCCACCGTGCCCGAATGAAAAGTTCTATTTTTTAAAAGATTAACAAAATCAACAAGCCCTTAGCCAGACTCAGACAAAAACAGAGAAAATCCAACCAAATAAAATCAGAGATGAAAAAGGAGACATTACAATTCACACCTCAGAAATGCAAAGGATCATTAGAGGCTACTGTGAGCAACTACATGTCAAGAAGCTGAAAAACCTAGAAGAAACAGATAAATTCCTAAATGCATACAAACTACCAAGATTGAACCATGAAGAAATCCAAAACCTGAACAGACCAGTAAGAAGTAATGAGATCAAAGCCATAATACAAAGTCGGCCAGCATAGAAAAGCCTGGGACTCCATGGCTTCATTGCTGAATTTTATCAAACGTTTAAAGAAAAACTAATACCAAACCTTCTCAAACTATTCCAAAAAAATAGAGGAGGAAGGAACACTTCCAAACCCATTCTACAAGGCCAGTATTACCTTGATAAGAAAACCTGAAAAGGATACATCAAAAAAGGAAAACTACAGGCCAATATATCTAATGAATATTAATGCAAAAATCCTCAATAAAATACTACCAAATTGAATTTAACACAATAAAATATCATGCCTCATAACCAAGTAGGATTTATCCCGGGGATGCAAGGATGTCGTAACATATGCAAATCAATCAATGTGATATATCATATCAACAAAATGAAAAACAAAAAACATATGATCATTTCAATTGATGCTGAAAAAGCTTTTGATAAAATTCAACATCCTTTCACGAAAAAGAAACCCCACAAAAAACGGGTATAAAAAGAACACACCTCAATACAATAAATGCCATATATGACAGACCCACAGCTAGAATCATACCAAACTGGAAAAAAACTGAAAGCCTTTCCTCTAAGATCTGGAAAAAGACAAGAATGCTTTTTCAACACTATCATTCAACATAATAATGGGAGCCCTAGGTAGAGCAATTAGACAAGAGAAAGAGATAGACGGTATACAAACTGAAAAGAAAAAAGACAAATTATCCTTTTTTACATGTAATATAATCTTATATTTAGAAAATCCTAAAGACTCTACCAAATAACTATTAAATGTGATAAGCAAACTCAGGGTTGCAGGATATAAAATCAACATTAAAATATCAGTAGCATTTCTATATACCAATAGTGAACAAGCTGAAAAAGATATAAAGAAAGTACTCCCATTTACAATAGCTACAAATAAAATAAAATGCTTGGGAATAAACTTAACCAATGAAGTGAAAAATGTCTACAATGAAAACTGTGAAACACTCATGAAAGAAATTAAAGAGGACACACACAAAAAATGGAAAGATATTCCTTGTTCATGTATTGGAAAAAGTAATGTTGTTAAAATGTTCATACTACCCAAGCAATCTACAAATTCAGTGCAATCTCTGTCAAAAATACTGATGATATTCTTCACAGAAATATATTGTATCAAGTATTTTGTAGAAATAGAAAAAATAATCCTAAAATTTATACAGAAACACAAAAAAGCCAGAATAGCTGAAGCCATCCTGAGCAAAGAGAGCAAACTAGAGGAATCACGTTACCTGACATCAAACTCTACTACACAGCAATGGTAACCTAAACAGCATAGTAGTAGCATAAAAACAGACACCTAGACGAGTGTAACAGAATAGACTACCCAGAAATAAATCCATATAACTACAGTCAATTCATTTTTGACAAAGGTGCAACAACATACATTGGGGAAAGGACAGTGTCTCTAATAAACGGTGCTGGAAAACCTGGATATTCATAAGCAGAAGAATGAAACTAGAGCTCTATCTCTCACCATATACATATATCAAATCGAAATGGATTATTAAAACTTAAATCTAAGACCTCCAACTATGAAACTACTGCAAGAAAACATTGGTAAAACTCTCCAGGATATTGGTGCGGGCAAAGATTTCTTAAGTAATACTCCCTAAAGCACAGGCAATCAAAGCAAAAATAGACAAATATGATTACATCAAGTTAAAATGCTTCTGTACAGCAAATGAAATGGTAAAACAAAAAGAGATCCCACAGAATGGGAAAAAATAACTGCAAACTATCCATCTAACAAAGGATTAATAACCAAAATATATAAAGAACTCAAATCAATGGGAAATAATCTAATAATCTGGTTTAAAAATGGGCAAAATACCTGAATGGACATTTTTCAAAAGCAGACATAAAAATGGCAAACAGGTATATTAAAAGTTGCTCAAAATTAGTGACCATCAGAGAAATGCAAACACAAATTGCAATGAGATATCTTTTCACTTCAGTTAAAATGGCTTTTATCCAAAAGACGAACAATAACGAACTCTGGAGAGGATGTGAAGAAAGGGGAACCCTGGTACAGTTTTGGTGGGAATGTTAATCAGTACAGCCACCATAGAGAACAGTATTGATGTGCCTCAACAAACTAAGAATAAGGCCTGGCATGGTTGCTCACACCTGTAATCCTAGCACTTTGGGAGCCCGAGATGGGCAGATCCCTGAGCCCAGTAGTTTGTGACCAGCCTGGGCAACATAGCAAGACCCCATCTCAGTAATAATAATAATAATAATAATAATAATAATAATAATAATAATCAACTAAGAATACAACTACTATATGAGCCAGAAATCCCAATGCTAGGTTTTCAAAAGTAAGGAGATCGGTATATTAAAGAGATATCTGTAATACATAAACATAAATACCCATGTTTATTGCAGCACTAATCACAATAGCCAAGATGTGAAAGCAACCTAAGTATCCATCAACAGATAAACTGATAAAGAAAATGTGGTACATATACACAATGGAGTACTATTCAGCCATAAGAAAGAATGAGATCCAGTCATTCACAACAACATGAACAACTGGGGGACAGTATGTTAAATGAAATAAGCCAGGCACAGAAAGACAAATTTCTCATGTTCTCACTCATTTTGGGGAGCTAAAAATTAAAACAATTGAACTCATGGAGATAGAGAGTAGAATGATGGTTACCAGAAGCTGGGAATGGTAGTGGGGGTAAAGGGTTGGGTAATGGAGATGGTTAATGAGAACAAAAATATGGTTAGATACAATAAATAAGATGTATTATTTTATAGCTCAAGAGAGTGACTTCAGTAATAATTTGTTGTATATTTTGGAATAACTGAGCAGGTACATTTAGAATATTTATAACAGAAATAAATGATGAATGATTGAGGTGCTAAAAACCCCATTTGCCCTGATATGATTATTAAACATTGTATGCCTGTATCAAAATATCTCATCTACCCCACAAATATATACAGCAATGTACCCATAAAAATTAAAAATAAAGAAAATTGAGAAAATATTTAAAAATAATAAAATGGGAGGTCAGGCACAGTGGCTCATGCCTGTAATCCCAACATTTCTCTAACTTTTGTTTAATTTTTAAAACATAATAAAAAATCTTAAAAAAATTAAAAACCTTATACTCCTTGGCACAAAAATACTTCAAGAGAAAGGTCATGTTTCATTCCAGTAAATCATTTAAAAGCTTTTTGCTTTTTTTTACACAGTAACAAGCTAAAGTCACTCAACATACATATTTTTTCTTATGTCAAAAATTTTCAGACTGCCACAAAATAACTGCATTCTTATCCATCAGAGTCATTCGTTCCAATAAAATCAATAATCAATGTCCTAATAATGCTTGCTCTAGACATTTATTTTCTCAAAGTTATGATCTCCATACAACAAATGGGAATAATAAACTGAAGTTAATTCCGAGCAGAAGGCAGCAATTTAAAAAAGCAAGTTTATTGTCCTTTCTGGGACAATAAACATAAGAAAAGAATTATGAGTCTTCAAATAAGCTGCTATTCTTCAAGAAACCACCAGGTTAAATGTCTGTCAATTTAAAGACTCAGACTGTTGACTTTGTTGTCATTGAAATTCATATAATAATATGTAAAGTATATATAATAATTCATATAATATAGTATGTTATATATGAAATTATTATATGAAATTCATATAATAATTCATATAATGATTTTCTTTATATTTCAAATAAAATGAAATTCATACAATTCTTCATATAATGAAAAGCCTGATGGCCTGCCAGTGTGGGCATCATTTTTATTAGCACCATATCAACAATAGGAAAACATTTTACATTCAGACAATATCAAACAGGGGGGAAGAAGGAGGACAGAGCCAGCACTCTAGGATCTGATTAAATTCATAGAAATTTAATCTAAACATTTACGTTGAAAAATCAATTTATTTAATATTTGTTAATGAGATTGTTGCATCTCTTTTTTATCCTTTTTTTTCCAAATATCAGTTTGGAGCTTTCACTCACTTGAGTGCAGGTGGGAATTTGAATCAGAACATGAGAAATGCTGGTCTGAACAGGTCATGCCAAAGCCCTAATAGCCACTTCAGCTCTATTTACATTTACTCTAAATTGATCATAACCCTCATAGCTCCAGTTTTTGCTAGCATATACACTCTTGACAATGACTTATTTGATCACTCTGAAAAACAGTGTTGCCAATTGTGTACAGATAACAAGTCTGATGTGTGATTCAGAGGCCTCAGAAAATTTTCTTCTAGTATGAGAGGGACAAAACAGCAAAATATCAAAGTATGCATTGGATTTCTCTACCTTAATTTGGTATAATTCATGCCAACAAGGAAGTGCTGATCATTTATCAGCGGCTGTGTTATGTTAAGCAAAGAAGAAATACATGACTAAGTTCTAACTCTCAAAGGACATATAAAGAAAGCTTCTAGATCACTCCCCAACTCTGAGCTTCCTGCTCTAGAGTGTGAACAACTAGATTTTGTGCTATTTTCTATGATGAGGCACATAATATTTGGGGCTTTCTGCTAGGACCATTTAATAGAGGTAAGGTTTTCGTTTTTGTTGTTTTTTTCTTCAAATCACATTGGATACTCAGCCAAGACAAAAATAGTTCACTGTAATATAATTCTTGTATATCCCACTGCTCATGCTTCATCCACAACACACAAACACAAACACACCACACACACAGAGGTACCCCATCCATAGTTCCTATTCTAATGAACCGCTCACCAAAAATGTAAAAAATTCCACATTAAATGGACCTTAAAGTTTTCACGTTTTTTGATGCCTAATTTTCTTTATTTGGAAGTCAAATTCAAATATCAATCTTTTCTCTCTAAATTATTGGATATGCTTCTAATAAATATTGGTTTAAATGAATATAAACATTCTTAAATAGTAATTATTGAGAAAGATAAAATGGCTACTCTTCTTTGAAGAGTTCTAATATCCAACAACAACCTTAGCTTTATAAAGGAGAGAAACTTTCTAAGGTGCTGACTCCAACCTCTGTACTAACTTCCTCCCACCAAATGCCAGCAAAGTTAAATGGTCAGAAAAAAATATATATGTTTATGTATATAACATATAAACATATTTCTATAAATGTTTATATATAAACATATACAATTATATATATAATATATAATTAGAGCAGGGTTAGGATAGTGTTGGCACACTCATGTCATCTTTCCACACCACAGAACAATTTTATACAATTGAATATAGAAATATTTATGAATTACCTTATGTATTAGTTTGCTACAGCTAGCATAACAACATGCCACTGACTGGATAGGTTAAATAATAGAACTTTATTTTCTCTGTCTGGAGGCTGTAAGTCCAAGATCAAGGTGCCAGCTGTGGGTTGGTTTCTTCTGAAGCCTCTTTCTTTGGTTTGCAGATAGCTACCCTCTTGCTGCCTCTTCACAGGGTTCATGCCTCTGTGCATGCACAGCCCTGGTGTTCCTCTGTGTTTCCTATTCTCCTCTTTTTTTTTTTATTATACTTTAAGTTTTAGGGTACATGTGCACAATGTGCAGGTTAGTTACATATGTATACATGTGCCATGCTGGTGCGCTGCACCCACTAACTCGTCATCTAGCATTAGGTATATCTCCCAATGCTATCCCTCCCCCCTCCCCCCACCCCACCACAGTCCCCAGAGTGTGATGTTCCCCTTCCTGTGTCCATGTGATCTCATTGTTCAATTCCCACCTATGAGTGAGAATATGCAGTGTTTGGTTTTTTGTTCTTGCGATAGTTTACTGAGAATGATGATTTCCAATTTCATCCATGTCCCTACAAAGGACATGAACTCATCATTTTTTATGGCTGCATAGTATTCCATGGTGTATATGTGCCACATTTTCTTAATCCAGTCTATCATTGTTGGACATTTGGGTTGGTTCCTTGTTCTTTTCTTTCTTTTCTTTTCTTTTCTTTTTTTTTTTTTTTTTTTTTTTTGAGACAGTCTTGCTTTGTCACCAGGCTGGAGTGCAGTTGCACAATCTCGGCTCACTGCAACCTCCGCCTCTCAGGTTCAAGCAATTCTCCTGCTTCAGCCTCTGGAGTAGCTGGGACTACAGACGCACGCTACCACGCCCGGCTATTTTTTTCAATTTTTTTTTTATTTTAGTAGAGACAGGCTTTCACCATGTTGCCCAGGTGGTCTCGAATCCCTGAGCTCAGGCAATCCGCTGGCCTCGGCCTCCCAAAGTGCTAGGATTACAGGTGTGAGCCACCGTGCCCAGACTCCTATTCTCCTCTTATAAGGACAACAGTCATGTGGAGTAGGGCCCAATTTAACAATCATATTTCAATTGAATTACCTCTTCTAAGACCCTCTCTCCAAATACAGACACATCCTGAGGTACTAGAGGTGAGGACTTCAACATATGAATTTTGGGGGCATCCAATGCAGCCCATACACCTTACTAGCAGCTAGATATTCAAAGGATATGAAAATGGCACAGTCCTTTATTTCAATGAGCAGAGCATGAACTTTTTTAAGGAGATAAGTCAGTAAACAAATAATTATATTAGAATTCAAGTAGAACAAAATGGAACATGCAAAATTTTGTTGAAGTTCAAAAAATGAAAGGATTACACCCATTTGGAAGGATCAGGGAAGAGCTCATGGAGCAACTGGTGTTTGAATTGCCAGAATTATAAGATAATAAAATGCATTGTTTTAAGCCACTAACTAGTAATTTATTACAGGAGCCATAGAAACCTAATATCACATCCTTTATTAAGTTAAGGAAAGTTTAGATGATTCTGAGCTTTCTGAGAGTTCTTATAATTAAAGCTTGTTTAATCGCTTAAAATTCATTTCTGTAGCTATTCATATGATCATGTGACTTTTCTTTTTTAGCCTTTAAATGGTAAGTCACTGATTATTTTTTCAATATTAAACTAGCCTGGCACTCCTAAAATAAACCACACTTGGTCATGATGTATTATCACTCTTTTATGTACTGCTGGATGTGATTTACTAGATATGTTTTATTGCAGACATGTGCATCTTGAAGTTCATGGGAGCTATTCATTTATAGTTTATTTTTTCTTATATTTTGTCATCAGGACAATGAAGCAAAATGAGAAATGTAAGAGATTTTGTAGAATTGGTAGAATTCTCCCCCAAAACCATCTGTGTCTGGAGTTTCTGAGTCCTCAGATAGTTGTGTTTTGTGTTTTGTCTGCAGATTTTAGTTATAATTAGTGTAATCAATTTAGATATGTTCTAATGAGCCTACTCAATGTATGCTGGCGTGTGATGGCTGTGGGTAGCATTTTTTTTACGTGGCTTGGTTTCTGCTTGATACAATGTACTTCTAATACCTGTGTATTTGTGTCTTTTCAGTTGTTATTTCTTCAAGCATTATCCCTTCTCCATTCTTTTTCTTTCTCCATGTCTTTTTCTGGGCCTTCAATTAGTCAGATGTTAGCACTTTTTACTATTTCCTTCTTATTTATTAATTACTCTTATATTTTCTATTTTCTTGTACATCTGAGTAATTTCTTTGGCTATATCTTCCATTGCAAAATTCTCAATTGTACTCTACTTTGCTACTAAACCATTTACTAATTTTTAAAATTTTAATAATTATATTTTTTATTTTTAAAAGTTTATTTTATTTGTTTCTGCAATGGCAAATTTTATGTGTCAACTTGGCCAGGCAATGGAGCCCAGTTGTTTGGTCAAATAATAACATAATGTTTTGTGAAAGTATTTTGTAGATGTAATTAACATTTACAACTAATTGACCGTATGAAAAGGAGATTATCCTCAATAAATTGGCTGAGCCGCTTAGTTGAACACCTTAAGAGCAAAAACTGATTACCTTAAGAAGGAATTCTGCCTCAACCATAACATAGAAATCCTGCCTGAGTTTCTATTTTGCCAGCCTGTCCTGTGGGTTTCAGAACTGACTCTGGAACATGAACTTTTGCCTGAGTTTCCAGCCTGCCAGCCTGCCTTACAATTTTCAAATTTGCAAGCCTCCACAATCACATGTGCCAATTTCTTAAAATAAAGCTAGATAGGTGATGATAAATAGATAGATAGATAGATAGATAGATAGATAGATAGATAGATAGATAGATAGGATGGATGGATAGATAGATAGATAGATAGATAGATAGATAGATAGATAGATAGATGATAGATAAACAGATAGATGGTTGAATCGAGTCTATTGGTTCTGTTTCTTTGGGCAACCCTAACTTATCAAATTACTCTGGACATTTTAACAACTTCTTATTAATTGCTATTTTTGTTATCCCATTTTTATTTTGGTAAACATTTCCAAAGTAAGAATTTAAAAGTTTGTATCTGATACTTGAGATTTTAGGATCCTTAGGAAATCTAAATCTACTGTTTATTGTTTTGATGACTCTCTTCCATGTTGATTTGGTTTCTTGCATGTCTGATAATCTTTATAAGTTCATATTTGATTAATTTGATTATGTGGATAATGTGCTGACCAAATTTGAGGGTGTTTTCGTCTTGACAGAAATTCGCATTTGCTTCTTTTGAAAGTCAGGCAGTTTTACCAAATTGAAGCTACTTCCACCCCTTCTTTTGGTCTCAGGATGTCTCATTCAGCAATCCCTACTTTGTGTTATTGGCTCAAGTCCTAATTCAGGGACCCCTGCAAACCACTCCCTAATTTCGGGATCAGCACCTGACTTCATGTAATAATATTCTTTGTGTTTTCTGGTCATATATTTTTGGCTACATGAGGACTTTCTTACTCCCTGGGAGTATATATTCACCTATATATGTACATACACATTTTATGCAGGATCTAATTATTTTATAACAGGAAAGCCTCCTCAAAATATCTGGTCTGACATACTGTCAGCAGCACACTGCCAGTTACTGAGGATTTTGTTAACAAATTATGCAGATAATTAACAGATAATTGGGTAGTTATGGAAATGAAATGTAATTTCATAATAATTTAAAATCTATAGAATTTGTTTAAAAGAAGCATTTCAATACATTAAATTATATTTTAATGCTTTGAACTTTGTTTCTAATATAATAATGTCAGAGAATTCTAAACTTGGATATAAAATAGGGGGTGGCTGAACAAAATGTATCTCTAGAATTCTATAAATTCAACTTTGGGTTATTTACAACTCCAAACTGCAATGTTCAGGGTTGTATTTATCACTGGAGATTTACAGAGCAAAAAGTCTGCTTGAAACATGTTTATATTTGGAGAAATCTTATTTTTGGCAGCAGTGGAAAAAACAGTGATTAGAAGGACCATCAGTCAAAAGATAAAAGATTTTTTCTCATCTATGAATCTCAGATTCATGGAAACTAAAGTTGAAAATAACTCAATAAGTCATCTAATTCATTCCTTTCTCAAAAAAAGAATTAATGTCTCAAAGAATTTAAAGGAAACGGTCTTGTTATTTTCATTTTTTAAGATTCCTGCAGGCCTATCTTTTCTTTTTAAATTATTCTAGTTATATTATGATTTGTTTGACATGAAAGTCTTTCAAAACACCAGGAGTTAGAATGGTAATATTCTGTTAAAATGTTTAGAATAGGCCGGGCACGGTGGTTCACCCCTGTAATCCCAGCACTTTGGGAGGCCGAGGCTGGCGGATCACAAGGTCAGGAGATCGAGACTATCCTGGCTAACAAAGTGAAACCCTGTCTCTACTAAAAATACCAAAAATTAGCCGGGCGTGGTGGCGGGGCCTGTAGTCCCAGCTACTCGGGAGGCTGAGACAGGAGAATTGTGTGAGCCCAGGAGGCAGAGCATGTAGTGAGCCGAGATGGTGCCACTGCACTCCAGCCTGGGCGACAGAGCTAGACTCCATCTCAAAAAAAAAAAAAAAAAAAAAAAATGTTTAGAATAAAATGTAAATCAAGAAAAAAATATATTATATAAAATTTAGAAACTTTTTATCAGCTGATATTATACAACATCCTAAGTCTCAAATAAAATAAGTAGGGTGTGTCCTAAATAGGTGCTATTTTAGATAACAGATTAATCATGCAACTTCTCATATTTGAAACTTATAGTATACATTGTAGCTTGACTTCAGAGTAACCACAAGTGAATATACACATTATCTTTCCAGCCCACACCCCAAACTGTTCTTCAATGGCTCATTTCCAATTATTATTTAACTGGACTCCCTGCACCTGTCTAAAGCTCCGTTCACTTAGTGACTAAATGGCTTTCTAAAACATAGATCTGACCTTGTCATATGACAATGCAAAATTTGTGATATTCCATTTCCCTACTAGTAAACTTTAAATACAGTTCATCTTGAGCCTTTCTACTTTCATTTCCCATGTATCAGTGTTCCTTCTTCCTTCTGTGTTTCCTATGGTTTATTTATCTAATACTTCTGCTATTCTCTAAACATGTCCTCCAATCCCTGGACTATTTGCCTTTGAGTGTTTGCCAGTTGCCATCTCCCCTCCCTTACCTGCAATTCTGTAACCACATGCCAAAGCTCTAAATATTCCCTAAATCTCATTTCAGCTCGTATCTTCTTTGAAAGTCATTCCAGAATCCTTTTGTTAAAATAAATCTCTCCTCTCTCCCCTTCATTAATATTAATTTCTTCTTCCATTATAGCATTTAGTATAGCACTGTATTTGAAGTGTAGATGTAAATACATTAACCTACTAATTTAGGCACGCAGTTGTAGGGAATCACATAGTAGCCATCTTTGGTTTCTTCTATAGAACTTGCATTGCATAATTTTATTGATTATCATCTTTTTGCTACTGGTAAGAATTAACTAATTGTTTTCATGACACAGAGATTTGGACAGACATAAAAATATAGTGTATGAGTTATATATATATTATTTCTGGAGTCAAAAAAATTGAGATTATAATCCTTATCTAGCTACGTAATAAGGAGCCTCTGACAATGTACTTAATCTCTCTAGCTTCAGTTTCCTCATAAATAAAATAAATTTACAATTATACCCAACTAACAAGATTTTTGTGAGGATCAAATGTTATGCTATTAAAACATTTAGCATAGTGCTTGCCATAGTAAACATCCAATAAATGTTAGTTATTATTAGTTATGATTATTTTTATAATTCCAAATGATTGCTATTTAAAATAAATCACAATAAAATAAAAAAGAATACAAGTATGTGATAGAACTTGGAGACACCGTTTAGGTGTCATAGACACCCAAATCTATGTCATGTGACATATAATTTTAGGCTGTGGACTCAAAGAAGACCCTATGATAGAAAATTCTAATTATAAATAAATTAGGAAAAAAATTAAAATTTGCCTCTAGTTTCTTCTCCCTCTTTTTCTTTCACACACACGCACACATACCTATCCTCCCCCACCCCCACCCCCACCACATACACACACACACAACTAGATCTTTCTAGGTGCAGGCATTTCCAGCTTCTTTATTGAGTGATTTTACTATATCTCTGCTGGAGTTACAGTTGTGAAGCGCAGTTTACCAAGCCTTAACTATAAATTGCATAAACACAAGTTTCTGAAATATTGGTACTACTATTCTTTGAATATGTATAAATCTAATTAAAAGGAGACCTTGGGCTTGGAAAAGCCTTCCCACTTAGCATTCCAGATATAGGCACGAATCAATCCTTTTCCTTGTGGATCATCTGGGATTAGACTGGAATTTTTCGAAAGAAACATTTCTAAGCAGCTAAAGGTACCATAAGCATAGTGATAAAAAACAACTACTGAAAATGAAAATTTATAATATACCAGAGTTCAAACATTTTAACCAATTAATCGGCAATAATTTTGGTTGGACTTGTCTCACAGAGCTTCCCAAAATGAAAGTCCATGACACCTTATCATGCTCTCAACTAATCTGAAAATCCTGCCCTAGAGATCCAGCATTTCAATCCACAAGCCATTCGGATATGAAGTATGCTTCTACCCTGACAGCAGTGCACAAGCTATAAAGGATACAGAAGAGGCTCCCCACCAACTACCAACCCAAATTTTAAAATGGAGATTGTTGTGTGCTAACATCAGTAACAAAAAAAAAAAAAAAAAAAAGGATGAAACATGCAGGGAATAAGAAAAAACATGTCATCCAGCTTCAAATATGTAAATTAGTTCTTTTGAAGAAGCACAGATATTTGAGGCTGTAAATTACAATGTCAAATTAGATAGAAATCTTCAATACAGTTCAGTCACAAAATCATGCAGGGCTCTTTTGGACTTAACACTGAGAAAGATTGTATCTCTTGTTTCATACAACAGAGAGATGTGATGTGATAGTATTTTCCATATGAATGATGGGCCTGCACCTGGAATACAGCATTCAATTTGTGCTTGTTGGTGCCCAAAAGATCTACATAAATTAAAAGGAGTTCAGAGGAGGTGGAGAAAAAAAATGATTGTGAAATGAGAAATTTGATGGATGGACTGAAGACAAAAAAAGATATTAATACATTTGATATTTTTGTCTAAGCAAAGCCCTTAAGGGAGAATTTATTTATGGGGGAAATCCTACTAATACCAGAAAGTTCTGAGCCTTGGATTGAGCAAAGAATACAGACTTGGATATAAATTAATCTGTAATGTTTTGGACATATACCAAAATAATGAGATGAAATTATGAGTAAACATATTATCTGTGAAAACCAATTAGTGGCCAACAAATGCTACTCAAAGTGTGGCGCGGAAGATTGCAGCATCAGCATCCCTCAGAAAGGCAGAATCTCAGGTCCCAACACAGAGCTTCTGAGTCCAGTTTTACATTTTAATGAGATCTCCAGGTCATTTATCAGCCTACAATAAATCTTGGAAAATACTGGTAATATATCAAATAATACGTTTGGGGCAGGGCTGAGTTTAAATTTTGACTTTGCCTCTTATTAGCTATGTGACCATGAATAAATCACCTAATCACTACATACTTGAGATTCCTCATCTGTAAAAGGAACATAATTACATCAACTTAATGAGAGTTGCATTGAAGATTATTGAAATAACACAAATAAAATATTTCTCAGAGTAGAGAGGGACCTGCAAATTGTAGCATGTATAAATGGTATAATGGTTGACTGTTTCTGAGAAAGGAAAAATGAAATGTGGGAGAAAAAAAGAGGAAATAAAAGAGAAGAATAATAAAAGGGAAAAGTGAAGAATTATTAAAAGATTATGTTCTGGACAGAAGTGAGAGCACTTTTCCAACTTTCACCCACAAAATTCAGTCCCCACACCCTGGGTATATTGTCTGCTTTATCACTCATTTTTTTTCTACTTTCTCTTTAGTATAGTTAAGTATTCTTTTGCCTTATTCTGTGACCCAAACATTCTCTCAATGTGTCACACCTATGAGACCTCCCAAAAAGCAGTGACAGGAGACCTGCTTAAACCTTTTGAGTGGGGAAGTTGGAAATCATTGTACCCATGTGTCTCTCCACATTCATGTTCACTAGAGCTCTGAGTAAGCTGAACATCTTGCAATGTCAATGTTTATCTTTTTGTGCAAACTCTTGAAGAGAAGACGCACAAAAGCTGTCAGAAGACATTGATCTCTGAAAATTCCACAAAATGAAATTTCCAGTTATATTTTAGGTCTTGTTGTGGGGTCCAGAACTAGGCGAAGGGTTGATAATGAGATTGTTAAAGAAAAAAGTATTCTAACACTTGTTAAAATGATAAGGAAGGCTTCATTCAGGACTCGTGGTATATATATCAAGACTGTCACCGTAAGGGAGAGAGATTGGGCTGAACTCCAAAAACAGCAAAGACCTCTGAGGATTTACAGCCAATGAGCAGAATGTGGGGTCACTGAGTAAAAATTACAAGAAGAAATAGCAATATTAGGGGGATTATTGCTAAACCAATCTAGGGTTCTTGCTGAAGGTAGGTCAGGGTCATCAGAGATCAAGGGCAGAAAGTGAAGAATTTGATGAGATATGAAGGGTGAGGGATCTTCTCTAAGCTGCCTGAGCATGATTTGTGCTGAAACTGAGTTACGGAGGCAGAAGACAGTACCCAAGGATGAGATCTAGTTGGAAAGAGTGCTCAGAGGAGCCTGACTAAAGTTTGGGCAAGGAAGGAGTCTTTGTCGAAGGTAAGGGTCCACAGTACACACACACACACACACACACACACACACACCCCATATGGAAATTAAACTCCCTAATCTGCCATCAGGCAAATGCCATTTTCTAGGGACATCATAACCACAAATGTAAGTGAACAAAAAGAAAGGCCTTTAGGAAAGGGTCCGGCAAACAGCATACGGTATAATTTCAAGAGCAAAGGGATGACTTGCTACTGCTGGCAATAACCAAAACAATACACAATGAAATAACGAAACAAACAAAACATCATCATGACTTAGAGAAGCTGGAAAAAGGGGAAATGCAATACTGGGGTGTGTGTGTGTGTGTGTGTGTGTGTGTGTGACAGAGAAAGAAAGAGTGAGAATTGAAAAGTTATTATAAAATTTAAAATTAGAGGATGTATTGTTGTTAGACGATTCTTTGAAGGTTATTAAGTTCCTTCAAGAAGGAACATCAAGAAGGCAACATGACTCCCTGACTTGCTTTCATTTGTAATACATTTCTACTCACATCAAATAAAGGAGCTAAGTTGTGTATTAATGTTAATGATGCTAATATTTTTATGGGTACTTGTACCTCCAACACTAGTGTCTCTAGGGCAATGGCTGTTATAAAAAGTCAAAGTACTGTAAATTTTGTATCAAAAAACTATAAATTTTATTATTATATAAATATTATATATCATATATTAACATCCTTTACTGATTAAAAAAATCCCTTTGCTACTAAAGCAGTGAAATGTATAACAAAGCACATTTTTCACTTCAACAAGATTCTTTTGTAAAAGACTATTCAGCTTTAAGATCATTTATCTTGTATATGAAAATGAATTTTCTCAAAGTGACTCATATTTTTATTTAAAATGCCTCTGTAATGCTAAAAAAAAAAACTCATGCAATAGAATTCTCTAAGAGCAGGCAGCCCATCAAAATTATTTCTTATTGAACAAGAGTGCCCTATGGAGGTAGCCATAATTTACATTAACATGAAATTGAGAAACATACATTTCATTAGCATAAAACCTTATACTGTACAGATACATCTTCAGCTTGTATTTCCTTTTAGAAGTTGATAAATGCAAGTTCCATATTTCAGATAGAGTAAATCTTAGGAGAAGAAATAAGATATGCCTAACAGCTGTAGCATAATTAAAATCTCATTTGCTATATATAATACTGAGAAGGGTAAGTAATTACAGAAAAGGAAGTGTATGATAATCTCTTCTTTGAATAACAGGAATTCGGTATTTGGTTCCCTACTGACAGTCATGTAACCTAAATTTAATATTTATTTGAATATTTGCTATTTATAATGTAGATATAATAAGTTTACTTAAAATTTAAAATTATATTAGCACTCAAACTGTTGAGTGTAAATAATTCTTGCTTTGGTGACTTTTTTCCCACTTACACCATGTTTCAGTGAAAATTCAAATAAACATGGTTACATCATATGTGAACATTTGTCTAATTATTAGTGAGAGAAGAAAATAATGATTTTTCCCTGAGGATTTTAAGTAAACTGAGTATTTGATTTCTGAGAATGAATTAAAGGCAAAACACATGTCCCTGATAAGACTTGTGTTTTAGGCCCTAGCTATCTGCAAAGCTAAAACTTTGGATGGAAAAAGGATTGGAAACCGACGTGGAACCAAAAAAGAGGCCCTCAAAATGCATCTTTCATATCCACTTTAATTCCAATGTCACTTAGAAACATTTTCACAAGAGCAAAGCAGACAGTTGTTTTATCACCTATTAACAGCTCTTTATGAATTACTTTATCTGCCGCTTTCCCAGTGGACACAGTCATCATGTGCTCATGCCTGTACTATGCATAACGGGAGATGGAGACATGGGGTGGGGTCATTATGGGACCCTGTCTGACATTCTGGTGTATGTAGGTAGAATTAAGTATATGTAGGGCACAATAAAATAGAGGCCGCAGGAAGAGGAGCATTGAAAACAAACTGTTCACTCTTGGAAATTGAGGTTAGGACCTGCCCAGTGGGGAGAAGGCTTGAAGAAAAACCTGTCTTTTCTAAAAGAGTGCCTTCTTTGACTTTCATCTATGGGACCATTATCAGTGTCTACTGCTAATGTCTGAAAGAGACTACAAAAAAATAATTTGTTCATTAATCAGCACCAAGTTTATTGTCTACTGCAAGAAGAGAGACTACTACCTTAAGAGAGTCTTAGGAGAACCTTAGATGGAAAGGACAAAATTGTGACATTTGTAAGTTTGGGGAATCTAGTTTAAAGGTGAGTCTTTTCAATGCTGAGGGCTAGGTAGGAGTTAGGTTAAGGTTGTGGTATGATAGTTTAAGATTAGTGAACACAGTGAGGATTTGAAAGGAAGCTTGAGTAGTAAAAAGTCATTTGCTGATCCAAGTTGGACAAACTATTGAAGAGAAGTCTATTGTTCAGATACACGGATTTTCAGGAAGTAAGCCTGAAATAATACAGTATTTGCCACTTTATATTCCTGGGCAAGAAGCTGTTGGAATAATAAAGTCATGCTAATGTGCAACAATGAGCTAGTGGCTAAATGATTTAAATTCTTACTGTATTGAGTCTTAGGAAGCTGACAGCCTTGCTATTAGGGATAATACTTGCAAGATCTTTGATTTTTTGTTGCAAATTCATAATGTTCTTATCTTTCTAAGCTTCCAGAAGTGAAGCATGGGGCTCACCACTGCCCATAGCATTTGACAAAGAGTACAGTGTATGCTGCTTCTTTGATACTGATCCTGAGCATTGGGAGAGATAAAATTCAAAATAAACTGCCAGAAATTATCCATCTGCAGTGCCTCTTATTTTAACACACTGCAACCCCAATTCATTGTTTGTGCAAGACTGGGATTGCACAGTATATTTTTAGAGCCATATGCTGACGATAGAGGTGATATTTATTACTAATAGTATAGGTCTTATCCGACTTTGGCATACAAGAACCGCAAACGTCTGCAAACAAAAAAAGAAGATTCTTTGACTATATGATAATCATATGATCAGGAGGCTTTCTAAAGGAGGAAATCAAGACAAAAAAGAAGAAATTACAAGATACATTTTTGACATTATTACATCTCTTTTCATTAATAAATATTTTCTATAAGAAAGACATAAATACTGCTATATAGAAATCCTTGTGAATCAATAAATCTCATTACACATGCAGATATATCTAAGCTGACAGCTACAGAGAGACAGCACTTTATTGTGGAAAATACATAAAAGGTCTCTGAGTCCGAATCCTAGATGTGGAACATGTAAGACTTTTAATAGTTGCAGCCTCAGTCTACTTTCCTTTAAATAGGAAAAAATATAAACAACATATTTTACAAATTAGTTATGATGATTAAATGAAATACTTGAAGGATATTTGAAAGTTATTTCAGTAAAGAAATAAAAGGTTACTATTAAAATTAATTCTGTATAACTAGTTATTTAACACGTAGGAAGATGGTATAAGATTCTGTTTCTTCACCAAAACAATCTGTCCCCAAGAAGAAAGTCTAAGGTTATCTCAATCATATCTCCTTGAGCTTAGTTTCTTACATTAAAAATAATGAATAACTATCTAAAAATTACATAATGCTGATACATCAAAAGAATAACAATAGACTTAATTCAATAATCACTAAAATTGTCATTAATATCAAGCTTTTAAAATCATATTTGCTAAATCAAGTATATTCATAGTCTTTACTTGATAAACAAACTAAAGAAAACCAGTGCATCTTATTTTTGTAGTTCTTGTATTTTTAATTTTTTTTGTACATGAAATTTGATTTTTACCGAAGTTTTCTCAGTAAAACTTAAGCACAACTTAAAATATGATTGTCATTTTTCAAGAGGAACTGGAAAGGAGAAAAAATCAAATGTGTAAGGTAGGAATAACTGAAAGCAAGTTAAATCAGAACTGTTTTTCAGTAAGGACAGGTTACTTAGGTGTCTGTTGATACTGATTGTGGCAGCCTACAGACCACTAACTTATTATTTTAATTAAGATACTTAGTCTATAGCCATACCAGATTGAACACCCCCAATCTCATTTGATTTCAAAAGGTTCTTTCATTCTCTCTTAAAATTCTAAAATTACATATAGTTTGGGACCACAGTCAGCCCTATGCAAGCTAGAGCGGAGTACAGCCCAAAGCTTTGAGAGAATAGAAATTAAGAGCCTTTCTGTAGAAGCTGGTTGACAGAAAAATGGAGAGGAGTAAAGGAGAGACTGACAGGTGTGGTGGCTCACACCTGGAATCTCAACACTTTGGGAGACAAAGGCAGAAGGATCACTTGAGGGCAGGAGTTTGAGACCAGCCTAGACAACATAGTGAGACTGCATATATACAAAATTATTATTTTTTTTAATTAGCCAGGCATGGTGGTAAGCATCTGTAGTCCTAGTTACTCAGGAGGCTGAGGAAGGAAGAGTGCTTGAGGCCAGGAGTGCAAGACTGCAATTAACTATTATCAAAACACTGCACTCCAGCCAGGTGTCAAGGTTAGATCGTGTCTCTCAAAAAAAAAAAAAAATCTATGTGACAATAGTGTAATGCAGAAATTGCACTATATATTTGAATAGTCCTTTATACTTGTCAAATGGCTTTCAAGAAGATTGCCTCATGAGATCCTCATCACTGCAGAAGTGAGATTCTATACTATTTCCATTTGCAGACTTTTTTGAAAAATGAGATTCAAAAAAGTTGAATACCTTTTCAGAGTCTAATAAATACAAAATGAGAATTAAAGCCTGTTGCCTGCTAGAATAGATTTAAAAGGCACCTTATAGTGAAGAAGAATGTGTTTCCACTTAAAAATTTTAGCAACAGATAATGATTATTTATTAAATAATGGTCGACCTCACTTTATACAGTGTTGGCCCCTCTAAAGGAACTCACTTCTTCTTTGCTCCTCACTATATCCCCAGTAGT